>NC_000009.12:101705400-101856915 GCF_000001405.40 Homo sapiens | reverse complement strand
TTGTAGAAATAATTAAATCACTTGAGGCCTATTCTCTGGAATAAAATTCTCCAGAAATTTTCTGTCCTTCTCTAACCCTACACTGGGGTGGATTCCTACTGAAAGGCCCATAGAGCATCAGAAGAGCTGGCCATAAATAAACGCAGCCGTTTTCAAATTGTATTGAGAGATCATATAGGGTTCTATGGAGTTATGTTCCCAACCCCCGCAGCAGAAAGAGGCCAAGGAATCGGGGACTCCAATTCTCCCACTCCTGTCCAACAGAGCAGCACCAATTTTGGCTATTTTATAGATGTGCTTTCCATCTAAAATTTATTTTTGGGAGGTGCATGGGAGATAATGGTCTACTGGTAAAACTATTGCTATAATGTAATGAAGATGTTATAGAACAGGTCAAGTCAGTCATTTTTCTCTTTTTTATTTCTTCTGGCATTCTAGACAAAACATAGCCTCAGTACAGACTTAACTGGTGACTTAAACCAATCTAGCAATTGAAAGAGCTTAACAAGGACCAAAAAGGAAGACAATTGGATGTTTATGTCATCTAATACACTAAGGAACAGAGATAAAGTAGAAGAGGATAGTGAAGCAAATAAAGAAGAAAGAAAAGCATAAAAGAACTTTAAAGTTAAAAGTCTGGAGGAAAAAAAAAGCACAAAAATATACTTGCACTTTAGGCTTTGGTTCAGATATTTGAAGTGGGAAATGCTATATTTTTCAACATTGATTTTGGCTCATCACAGCCAGGGTTTTTCATAGATCTTGTTCAATTGGGATGATAAACTAAAAAAAGAAAAGGGGCTAAACCAAGAAACAAGACTCAAAGGAGTATAGAATGTAATAAAGTGTAAGGCTTTCCAAGGGACCAAGGTTTTTCTCTGTTGGAAAGTCCAGTTTTACTATTTCAACGCATTATTCCTTCAACAAATATTTATTAGGGCTCTATGATGTGCCAAGCTATTCTAGGTTCAGTATAAAATGACAGATGGCTTTATTGTCTCCATCGGAGATGTGGAAAGTTATATTGTTGGAAACTTTTCAACACCCACTTTCATCTTTCTTCTGGCTTCCTATAGTATTTTCTAATTTTTTAGTAGTACTTATCACATTTTTTAGTATCATGATTTTTGCATGTATTAGTCCCTGTACTAGACTGTAAACACATTAAAATGCAAGCCATTTCACCCTTCTTTAGTCCTGATATGTTACCTACTAAATAGCAGATGTTCAATATGTGTTTGATGAAATAAATTTGTTAAAACCACAAAGGTGTATATAATTTAAATTTCCATAAAACATACCTTCAATAATAAATATAGAGCAGGCAGAGGGTAAACTTTCATATACTTACTCTTATACTAGAACATACTTAGAATTATCAGTACCTTTCCTCAAAGAATTATGTATATTTCATTTATTTCCACCAGAGGCCTAGAAGATGAGTAAAGTCCAGTATTATTATTTCAGCCTTTCTCCATGTTGGTTATCTAGGAGATTATAGAGGGAGAGAAAACCTCACATCACTGTTCACACATCAAACAATTCTACTTACATATTTATTCAAACAATTAGATCTGTATGTTGTAATGGGGAGATAAAAATAACAGGCAAGTGAACCCCACTAATAAATAAAAATTTAAATGCAAAATACAAGGAAAAAATCAAATGTGGCACTATGATAGAGAATAAGATAGGAAAATAACCTATTTAGAAAAAAACCCTCGTGTCTCCCTCAAGAGGTGATAACTAAGCTGAGAAGGAGACATCCATGTGAAATGCTAAAGAAAGAGCATTTCATGAAGAAATAATATTAAATATTAAAAGTAATGGCAAACACCAAAATTATTTTTTCACCAACCTAATACAATGCACAGTGGTTCTAAAATGGGTAAAATCTTGGGAGGGAAGGTAAAAGGCAATATGGCCAGAGCATATTAAAGATATAAGTTAAGAGTCCGGAGATAAGCAAGGGTCATTCCATACCAGGTCTTTCAGGCCAACATCTGAAGTTTGGGTTTAATTCAAATTGCAATAGAAATCTATTGAACTATTTTTAAGTAGGCAAGTAGCAAAATCTATTTTTAAAAGATCATTCTGGATGCTATAGAGAGAATAGATTACAGAGGTATGAAGTAAGAAAGGGCATAGGGAAACTCAGAATACTATTAAAGTAGTTTTATGACCTGCTATGTATATGGCTTGACTTGGAGTGCTGGTAATGGATGTGGAGAATAGAAGCATATAAGACGTAATTTGTAGATAAAACATTCAGGCCATACTAACACTTTGGAAGCAGGAGGATTGGGAGAGGAAAGAATAAAGGATCTTTCCCAAGTTTCTGGATAATGCAGCTGGGGAGAAAGAAAGTGCCATTTGCTAACATGAGGAAGACTATGAATGGAATGGGATTCACAAGATTGATGTTACATCTGGGGTGTCCATAAAATATCCAAATAAAGATGTCAAATGGAAACATAGACATATAAAATTGGAAATCTAAAGAAATGGATATTAGTTGAACGTCATCAACATGTAGATGGTATTTAAATCTGTAGAAACACAGGAGATCTACCGTATAAAGCCTTTAGAGGGCAAAAAGAAAATCCTATTATGAAACATTGAAGAACTCAAACAGAGGTCAGTTTAGAGGAGGGAAAATCAACCATAGAGGCTTAGAAGAATGGGATACATGGATGGGAAGAACACTAGAAAAGAGAGAGGTTACAAGAACAAGAAAGATGTTATGTGGAGATCCTTAATGTCAAATATGGTGAGAGGTCAAGTAAAAGGAGGACAGAAAGCATATACTGGATTCAGCAATATGGATGTGTCAGAGATCTTAACAAGAATGATTTGGGGAAAATGTTGGAGGCAGAAGCAAAAGTGGAGCAGGGAAGAAAAATGCAAAGCAGCTGACAGAGTGCTTAGAGAACTATTTGGAGAATGTTGACAGCAGAAGGACCATTCATTCATTTGATTCTTTTATTCATGTTTCTTATACAATTTACTAAACAAAAAAATATCTAATTTTAGCCATAAAAAGTTCCCGATTATTCCTTCAAGATAGATGAGTTGTAAAGTGTACTGGCAAATAATGGAAAGACTTGATCTGATATATAGAATTGTTGACTGTTAGCCAAATAATTGTAAAAGAATGTATGTCCCAAAAATGGCGTTTGGTATAAAACCAAATGACTTTGGTTTTAAAACATTTGCTATTAAGCCATTTTTCTGGCAGTAATTAAACCACAGGATTAAATGCCTATTGAAGCATATGATGAAATCTTATAAAGAAGATAAAAGTATAAGTATCTTTCTTATCTGTTTAACAGGGAGCATGCATAAAACCAACTAGAAGTTGTTTGGGGTCACTGAGGAGCACAGGAGGTGCTAAGCTTAAATCTTTACTCTCAAGATGCTTAAATTAAGACATACATGAGCTTTTTTTAAAAACTGTACTTTAAGTTCTGTGATACATGTGCAAAACATGCAGGTTTTTACATAAGCATATGTAGTTTGCTGCACCTATTGACCCCCTTCTAAGTTCCCTCCCCTCATCCCCCACCATCCAACAGGCCTCAGTGTGTGTTGTTCCCCTCTCTTTGTCCATGTGTTCTCATTGTTCAACTCCCACTTATGAGTGAGAACATGCGGTGTTTCGTTTTTGTTCCTGTGTTACTGTGCTGAGGATGATAGCTTCCAACTTCATCCATGTCCTGGCAAAAATCTCATTCCTTTTTATGGCTTCATAGTATTCGAATGTGTATATATACCACATTTTCTTTATTCACTCTACCATTGACAAGCATTTCAGTTGGTTCCATGTCTTTGCTATTATAAATAGTGCTGCAATAAACATACGTGTGCAAGTGTCTTTATAGTAGAGTGATTTATATTCCTTTGGGTATATAAATGAGATTGCTGAGTCAGATGGTATTTCTGGCTCTAGATCTTTGAGGAATTGCCATATTGTCATCCACAATGGTTGAACTAATTTACATTCCTAACAAAAGTGTAAAAGCATTCCTATCACTCTACAACCTCGCCAGCATCTATTGTTTCTTGACTTTTTAATAATCACCATTCTGACTGGTGTGGGATGGTATCTCATTGTGGTTTTGATTTGCATTTCTCTAATGATTAGTAATGTTGAGCTTTTTTTCATGTTTCCTGGCCATGTAAATGTCTTCCTTTGAGAAGTGTCTGTTCATATCCTTTGCTCACTTTTTGATGGGTTTTTGTTTTGTTTTTTCTTGTAAATTTGCTTAAGTTCCTTGTAGATTCTGGATATTAGACCTTTGTCAGATGGGTAGATTGCAAAAATTTTCTCCCCTTCTGTAGGTTGCCTGCTCACTCTGATGATAGTTTTCTTTTGCTGTGCAGAAGCTCTTTAGTTTAATTAGATCCCACCAACAATAGACAATCAGAGAGCCAAATCATGAATGAACTCCCACTCACAATTGCTACAAAGAGAATACCTAGGAATACAGCTAACAAGGGATGTGAAGGACCTCTTCAAGGAGAACTAGAATCCTAAGCAAAAAGAACAAAGCTGGAGGCATCATGCTACCTGACTTCAAACTATACTATAAGGCTACAGTAACCAAAACAGCATGGTACTAATACCAAAACAGACATATAGACCAATGAACAGAACAGAGACATCAGAATTAACACCACACGTCTACAACCATCTGATCTTTGACAAGCCTGACAAAAACAAGCAATAAGGAAAGGATCTCCTATTCAATAAATGGTGCTAGGAAAACTGGCTAGCCCTATGCAGAAAACTGAAACTAAATCCCTTCCTTACACCTTATACAAAAATTAATGCAAGATGGATTACAGACTTAAGGGCTGGGTGCGGTGGCTCACGCCTGTAATCCCAGCACTTTGGGAGGCTGAGGCGGGTGGATCACCTGAGGTCAGGAATTCAAGACCAGCCTGGCCAACATGGTGAAACTCCATCTTTACTAAAAATACAAAAATTAGCCAGACGTGGTGGCAGGCACCTGTAGTCCCAGCTACTTGAGAGGCTGAGGCAGAAGAATCGCTTGAATCCAGAAGGTTGCAGTGAGCCGAGATTGTGTCATTGCACTCCAGCCTGGGCAACAAGAGCAAAACTCTGTCTCAAAAAAAAAAAAAAAAAAAAAAAGACTTAAATATAAAACCGAAAACCATAAAAACCCTGGAAGAAAACTTAGGCAATACCATTCAGAACATAGGCATGGGCAAAGACTTCATGATGAAAACATCAAGAGCATTTTTAAATTTTAAAGCATCAGCATGAATGATAGAAATGATGAGAGCTGTGAAAAATTGAAGCAGCATGAAGGTAGGCCCCTTATATGTTTTAATTGCACTTACATGTTAAATAATTAGCTTTTATGTATCTGAGCTTTTATATAAGTGCCTGGCAAAATTGTAGAATATTAGTAAAACAGATTCTTCACTGGGCCAGGAATATAGTATGGATAATAAAACCTCAACCTCATAAAAAATGTAATTTTCCTGCAAGGTTATGTCTTTCAGAAGCTGGTTGATGTGGTGTTTTTCAATATTTTCTTTTTTATCCAGATACAGGTGTTGTGGATATTATCATATATTAGATAAGGACAAAAATTAACATTTGTAACAGTTGCTATCCTCTTTCAGTTCCAAATGACAGATAACATAACTCAAAATGGCTTGTAATGTCTTGTATTATTAGGTATAATAATAAAATAAAATAACTCTTGGTTAGTGCTTATTATGTTTTGAGCAATGTGAAAGATAGATAGATAGATACATACATACATTCCTATGTATTAATCTAATTCTACAACAATCCTATGAGGTCAACATATTCTTACCTGTATAGTACATGTGAAAAAATTAAGGAATGAAAGCATTATTTCCAAGATCTCACAATTAGTGAGTATGGAGCTATAATTTGAATAGTCTAGCTCCAGAAACTTCCTCTTAACCACCATACTCTACCATGAAGCATTTATTGGCTCACCTATTTGAAAAATTTGAAGTTAATACTCGTCTCAAGGGAAGCTTGATCTAGTGGTTAAAAATGATGTTACCGAGGAGTCAGTCTTGTTCTGCCTTGCATGGCATTTACTCCATTCTCAAACCCAACATTACGCTTCCTTCAACTACTCTCTTAGTTTCAGATCCTTTTATTCAGAGTAAAATGACTGTAGCCATTGCAGACTTCCAATGTTCACAACACACCTTCTAGAGGAATAAGAAAAAAAAGCTCCTTTTACACAAAGTCCCCGCAAACCTCTCCTTGTGTTGTGTTGGTTACGACTGGATTATGTGCCTACCTGAGAAATAATTACTATATCTGAGAAAGTGGGATATACCAATGAGCTTGAGCCATTTGGAGCCCACCCATGACTGAAAATGGGAAATAAACAATTTCCCAAAACAAAAGGGGACACTATTCCTGGGATGAGGAAAAAGGTGGCTTGGACTGCAAACATCAATCCAGTGTCTTCATAGGCACACCTTCCTATTTTTCAAATATCTGTATCTCTTTTAAGGGAGAAACACTGAAAGTCACATCCATTTTCTATTTTCAGCTCCAAGGCAGGTAGAAAATACAGTTCTCTCAGGTCACATTATAACTCCTCACAGCCTGGAAACCTAAAGCTAACTAGAAAGTTTAACCACTGTTAATATTCCAACTGTCAGTGGTTATTAAACCACTGAAAATTTTGGGACACTTTGGTTTTGAGAATGAATAGTGGTCATTGGTTAATAGCACGTACCACATTCTTCTAGGCTGGAATAACAAGAAATATCAGACATAACAGTGAAGAGAGTTCTTGGTCAATCAATTGTCTGCCCCAAGTTCTATCTCTGAATCTCCTTTATCCATGGTCCTCCACAGCCACTTTGGCAGGGCTTAGGTGAGGAACCTCCCTTCTGAGGTTGTAGCTCTTTAGCAGCCTATTTCCTACTGGTGCAGAAATGGATCCTGGAAATAACCTGAGGGGCTGAGCAATCGCCAACCATAAGCCTGGCTTGAAATCTGTCTGGTGATACAACTCCCTTAAATTTTGGTTTCCAATTTGTAATGTCTGGAAAAGTTCATCAACTAATTAACCAAATCCAAAGACCTTTTGAGTCTTTGTCAAAAACCTACCACAAAGGTCTGATACTGCAGGTCTCAGTTCTTTGGCCTTTACCTACACCCCAGGGAAATAGGCTCTATACTGGCCCCTGACTTAGGGCAATTCCAAATGACAGACTGGGGTAAGTGGGAGGTGTCATTTTTCTATTGTCCATAGGCTACATAGCACTTATTATATATAAGGCACTGTTCTAAGCACTTCACATAAATTAACTTACTTTTCACAAAAGGTTTTGAAGTTATTATCATTCCCATTTTACTGATAAGAAAATTGAGGCACAGAAAATTTAGGTGACTTTCCCTGACTGACATTGGAAAAGTCACTCAGTTAATAGATAGCCAAGCTGGGATTCAAACTGAGTAAGCCTGGCTCCAAAGCATACACTCTTACTGTGCTCTGTCCACATCTTCTCCATGGGAATAACGACCTCTTTGTTCATCAGGAATGTTTCAGAGGCACCTAGGAGACTAGGCTTTTTCCAGCCCCACTATGTCTCCTGCTATATTTCCCTCCTCTCTGCCTTATGGTTATTACTCATTTATCACCTTGGATTGCAGGCTGCAGGCAGAAAGGACCTTTGTTCCTTTTCTGTACTACAACAACCCAGCTTCACCCTAAGCTTGGCTCTTGTTTTATGGGACCATATTTCAATAAGTGGAGAACTCTTTCCAATATCCTGAATTTTTATCTTTCAGATTACCTAAAACTATAACCTAGTCTGTATGTGCTCTGGGTTCCAAGTACAATTAAATGACAATTTAACTTGCTGTTTGGTTTCCCATTATCAAATCTACTCATTTTCTTTCTGACTTTCACTTAACTTTAGCTCCATCAAATGCATATATGGGAGTCTATCACTTATGACTCCCTATTCTAAGCAACAAATTTTGTATTTGTGATGAATCATCTGTGAGCACATGTCAGAAAACCAACTTCAACTGGCTTTAATAATAAACAAAAGCACTGGCTTAAGTGCTTCAAAGTTCAGAGAGATTTCTGGCTTCGAGAAAAGCTTGAAACAACACCACAGACTTGTCATCAAGGGCTCAACTTCTCTTCATCTTTTACTTTTGGCTTTTACGATGTTGGCTCCATGCCTAGTCTCCACACAGTAATCCCTGCTCCGTTCAGCAGGCAGTTCCAGGCTCTCTCCTCACAAGAGTAAAATGGCTACAGCAGTTCCAGATCTTGCAACTTCACACCGCACTATCCAGGGTAAGAGGAATCGGTTTCTCTTTCAAGGCACAGAAATGTCTTGACTACACTGTGTGGTTAGGAAGCGAGAGGAAAACATGTTGGTTGACTAAAGCCTCTAGGGATCCACCATGGAGCCAGTGGTAGAGGTAATCTCCCCTGAATCTCACAATGAAAATAAGAGATGAGTCTTTCCAAAGAAACCCCAGAAAGGTGAAGAATGGTGTAGGGTCCCCGAGGCCCCCTGCTTTCTGTCTGTGTCCTGACTGAAAATCACAGAGTGTCTTGACTGGTCTGTGACCCAGCCGGCTGCAAGTTTTTTTCCAGCAGGCTTGAACTCGGATTGGGGCCTTGAACACACCTCGGGACTGATAATGGTACCTAGATTGTTGCACAAAACACTGAAAGAAACTAGCCATGGCCCTGAGCCAGGAATATATTTCCTTAAGGAATATGGAATAAGGAATATGGTTCCTTAAACCTGCATAGAAACTCCCATATCCTGACCCCTTCACTGTGGACATGCGAGGGGGTCAGATAATGGAGTTTATATGCGGGCAGAACACTCCTTTTCTCTTACTATTTGTCAGGAGCATTGCTGCAGCACTCTGTAAGTTTCCCTAATAAAGATTTGGGCTGATCACCCTGGCCTTTAGTGCTTCTTTCTTTAGAATCCTAACTGGCCTCATCCGGGGATGGTTTGGGGTACTCCCTTGTGGAAACTTCCCTGCTGCTGCTTTTGGGTGATTCCAGCTGTGAGTTCTGTGGAATGAAACAAATAGATATTATGCCATAAGTAAGAGAGGTCAATCACAGTCAAACAGAGTCAATGCCACGTTATTGACTAACTTTTCTAAAAAGTTTCATGGGTTGGAAAGATATAAAGAATAAAAAATATCACTTCAACAGAGTTGTAAACTTCTGCTCTAAGATAAGTTATCTAGGTCGCTACTCTGGGAATGCCAAATTTTAATTAAAAAAAATTATTTTATGTATCTTTGATGAAATAGTGATTTTTTTTACTTTTTTAATTAAGAAAAGTAATATTTTCATGTGCCTCCTCAAAGATATTTTCTGATATATAAACAAATCTGATACATGAAAAGTTCACCAATAAATTTAGAAATAATCACTGTAAATCTGAATTTCTTTAAGCTTTATTTCTAATTGACAAATAATAATTGTGTATATTTATGGGTGCAATGTGATCTTTTAATATAGGTATAACATTGTAGAATAATCAAATCAGAGAACTAAAACTGTATATAAATCCCCCAACCTACCTTTTCTATATAAGCAATGGGTTATCTACTAATTTGTAACTTTTTAATTAAGTGATCTTTCAGGGTTTTTCCACTATCAAAGGAAGAATTTCTAAATCCATGTTATTTCAAGTAGATTATAATATAAATAATATTTTCATCTCTATCTAGGAAAGCCTACATTAACTAATCCAAGGAAATTAAAATCTATCAGACTATCATACCATATCAAGCTTACATTATAGAAGAAAATGCTTATGTATGTGTAGATAATGGCTTCTCAATTTGAAAGAAAATATCTCCATATGACAGTCTTTGAACTAAATGATGAATTAACACAATGCTTTTTAAATTCAACATTTATCATCTTTGGGTTTTAATCCCAGAGATAATGTAAAATTTCTCAAATCAAATAAGTTTAAGTAACTAACTTCAGTTTCACAAATGGGTGTCAAAAGCATGCCAAAATAATATAATCGTTATATTTGTAAAAGACTGTTTTTCAGGATGTATAATCTCTGCTCTTACAATGCATCGTATAATCTTACTTTAATAAAAATACCCTGAGGGCCCCAACACAATTTATTTCACTGTCAAAATCTTTGGGTTCCCAGCAACAGCACAAGGCTCTTCTATTCTGAGGTAGCTGGACTCTCAGAGATCTGTTTGGAAAAGTAAGACAAAGGATTTGTGTGATAGTTTATCATCTACCTGAATTACTGTTTTAAAAAGATATCAGAAGCTGGCTTTGGTCATTTGGGGGAAGAAAACGACTAAAAACGATGTATCAAAAATATGTGAGAAAATATTCAGTTGTTTGGAACCAAGAAAGTTCCAGATTCAGAATCTGGACAAAGGGTAGGAGACTTCACAAACATGGCAAGTAGCAAAGGCAGAAATCCTTGGTCAGCAGATGATAAAAGAAGCATGCACCCCAGCTCCCCAGCCATGAAGCTAATGCAATTTAAGGGCCCGTCTTTTGCACAAATCCCTTCCAAAGTCTGGACAAGAAACCAACACGGTATTTACATGATCCTCAATTTCTGTAAAACTTTCAAAAGTAAAATATTGTAAAAATAGTCAGTGAAGACTTCTGTCTACCCTCTGATTCCTTCCATCCCACTCTGCCTCTTGCCTGGAGATATTAGGGTAGTTGTGGCCCTGGCTGAGGGGAATTTTAGTTGGAGTTACATTTACCTCATATATGAAAAATATATGAATATATGAATTGTATAGAAGTTCCCAAATTTGACAGTTCCTAAAAATGCACCTGACATAACCAATATCAAGTTGTGAAACTACCAGAAGCTTTTCTACATTATCAATTTTTAAAAACCCACAAAATTTGGTACTTCCATCCATGGCAGAATAACTGGATTCAGACTTTACCCTCCCATAAAAAGCAACCTTATTAATGTACCAAATATATTAAATAACTATTTTTGGGCATTAATCTACAAACAGGACTTTGATTCTTGAGAGAAGAAAGGCACATGTGGAGAATCCCACATTTTTCCTGGCTTTCTCCCTCAGGGAAAATTTCCCAGTGGTGAAGCAGGGAGTTGAAACCCCAGCAGAAAGCAATGGTCTTGCTAAGCTGAGAAAGCAGAATTTGGAGATTAGGGTGCTGAGGTGGCTGGAATTTCCTGAGCAGGGCTTTAGAAAGGAAGGAGCTACATAAAGAAATAGGCACGGGTTTCCCCAAGGGTCTTTAGGAGAAGCTGGGCTGCATATGTGCAAGGCAAAATTCTGTAAGGCCTAAGAGAAATAGTGGCTCTGGGACCTAATGCTGAACTGAGATGGCAGATGTTATACAGTGCTGGGAATTTTGGAATTCTGGCCCAGACAGAATGGAGAGACCTTGCTAAGCACCACAATCACTCAGCTGAGACCCAAAAAAGCTACACATGTGAAGAGCCATGCTATACAACAAAGAACAAAACACTCAAGTGGAGAAGAAGGATATGATAATATCAGGCCCCAATCCACATGCGTATTAAACAGAAAACCTTCAAAAGGAAGCAGCAGAGTATCACAATAGGTTGGCAGAGCACAGAGGCAGGACTTCCTGGGAGGCCTGGAATCATTAGTGTCAGGGAAGTCAGGGCTCAGCCACCAACACGGGATTTAGGGCAGGGCTCCTGAGAGAGCATGGTAGCATTACAGTACCTGAGAAACATGGCAGATTATCAAAACCCAAAACCCTTGTTATGAGATCAGGACTCCAGGTAAGAGAAGTTGGGCATAAGGTTCAGACTAACTGCAAATGGAAAAAATTTGGAGGTAGAACTGTTTCAGTACCTCCTGTCTCCAGTCAGAGTCAGCTCTAGAAATTAAGAACAGGACAGACACTGCATTTAAAAAGCTAAGTGGTCCCGACTACAGCGATCACTTAGATCAATAGTAAAGGAAGATGGAGAATCAAACAATCTGTGAAAGGAAAAAGCTGTGTGACTCTAAGTCTGGGTTCAGAGGAGACAACAATGACCGTAACTAAACAGGAGAGAGCTCAATGGAGGGATGCTGATGGAGAAGCAGCACAGTGCAGACCCATGTGGGCAAGGCCTATGAGACCCTCTGATCAGAACAAGGAAAGCAACTTGCCTCCACAGCAAAAGTGCTTGGGGGACGAATCTTAGTTTTCTTCCTGCTGTTTTAAATGCATTGTCTGGTTCCTAATGAGGACAGCATTTCACTCACAGACCAAGACAGCAGTGACCATTATATGCTTCTAAAATTGCCAACAAGTGCATAAGTGAAATAGGGTTATGTTCTCAATACGGCATTGACATTTGCTAGATTGACGTTGTTAATGCAGTCAAAGAACTAATTAACAATCAAAGGGAATATTTTCACCACACTGAGCAGTCTGTAAGCCGACTGCCTCTGAATACCTTCGAAGTCCTAGGAAATCAAGCATTAGGAATGTATTCTGGATCCTTCAGGCCAGAAACAGCCTTGCCAGTGATAATTATGAGACTGACTGGGCCTAACAACAAAGAAGAGAATGAGCCAATCTTGGTAACCAGGAGTTTTGGGATGCAGAGTTTGTTGATCTGTTCCAGTAGCATTTGTGTTTGTTTCTGCAAAAACAGTTTTTAAAAAATAGCATCAGAACTAAGAGATAAAACCACTATAAAGGAATATATAATATCATGAACAACTATAGCTGAAGTAATTGTGTACCGAAAAACACAAATAAGTGAACTTAATAAACTAATCATCAGGGTGGTTACATATAAAAATGCATATAAAATCAATACTACTCTACCATTTATGCTTCTATTTCACTCACTGATCTAAAATTTTATACCTAGATTTTTATTATTACATTTTAATACTTTACATTATTCATCTTATCTTTAAAATTTGTTTTAAAATTTATCTTTTGATTATGTTGGTAATCAGTATAATTACTTATATTTATCATTTAACTGGTTTTACTACTCACTACCAGTGTTTCTACAATACAGATTCACTGTTCTCAAAGGGTTTTTTAATGGTGATATAATTTTTTCTCATTTAGAGGCTATCTCTGAGTAATATCAGGTATGAAGCTTGTGTAGTACATTTTCTGAGTTTTGCATATTGTGGAATGTGTTTTTGCTGCCACTGCACAAAGGAGGCAATATGCTCACAGGTGGGATCTTTAGTCAATAACATTGTCATCCTCTCCCTCACCACCATATATATTGCTTCTAGCATTGCCATCTGGCAACAAAGAAATCCTAGACGCACTTAATTTTTTTTTCTTACACAAATAATCTGATTTTTCTTACTTGGATGTTTGTGGAATATTTTTTATTTATCCTGTGAAATTTAGATACCTCAGCATGATATGTCTAAATACTGGTTTCATTTCATCAATGCTGCCTGCTTCTCAGTGAGACCCCTTATTCTGCAGACTCAACGCTTTCTTCAGTTTAGGAAAGTTTTGTGTAGCTATGACTTCAGTTACTGATTTTTTACCATTTGTTCTGATCTCTGTTCATTTATCTGTTATGTTGATTCTCCTTAATCTTTCATGTTTCATCTTCACTGTCATCTCCGTATCTCAATCCTATCGCCTTGTATCCTAGAATAGCTTCTCTAATGTGTGCCTTACACCACATTCCTGTGGTGTCAGTGTGAGAGGAGGAATAAACAGGTAAGAAACTAGTAAATCTTCCAGAGGACAGTGCTTTATTGCTCCAAATACCTGCCCTAGGCTAACTTCACCCTAAATCACTATAGTAAATGACCACGGAAAGTCAAAAGGAACAAAAACTTACTGAACATTTCGACACCTATAGCTAACACAGTATTTCAACTGACAAGAGGCCTAAGCATGATGAAGTGTAATTGTGACAGCTCCGACAACTTTGCGGTCCACAAGTCGAGCGGATCACTGGAGGTCAGGAGTTCGAGACTAGCCTGGCCAACATGGTAAAATCCCGTCTCTACTGAAAAAAATACAAAAATTAGCCGGGCGTGGTGGCACATGCATGTAGTTCCAGCTACTCAGTAGGCTGAGGCATGAGAATCGCTTGAACTTAGAAGGCAAAGATTGCAGTGATCCGAGATTGTGCAGCTGCACTCCAGCCTGGACGACAGAGGGAGACTCTGTCTAAAAAAAGGAAAAAAAAGGTAATCTGCCATTTGCCATTTGATTAACTTATCCATATAAATTTGTGTACATTTATATAAAGTTCAAATTGTCTGAGTGGGTAGTAATTTAAATTATGGCACATATATTTTATGAAATCTATATATCCTAGAGGCTTTTAAGAATTTGGAAAATGCAAATTAGAGAATTATAGGTAAAGTACAAGACAACAGTAAACACATAAAAATGTTATCAGTAGTGATCAAAAGTGATGACATTATTTTTCTATTTTATTTTCTATTTTCAGAGTTTAGAAATATTTTATTTGGAGTACATATTTATCTTGTGTAAAAATAAGCTACATTTAAAAAAAAATTCTACTCATCTTTCAAGTCTCATCTTAATACTGGTTCCCCTATGATTTTTCTTTCTTTTATCAGACCAACATAATATATTGCTCTTTCACTTCTAAAGCACTGCATAGCAATTTTCATGGAACTTTGAACATGCTACTTTACTTTCAATTTTTTATGAGCATAGAAAGGAGGACAGTCATGTATATTTCTTTATAGGACTTTTAACATGTAGTTCAATGTCTAAATTATAGTAGGTGATCAATTAATGTTGTTTGTCAAATAAGCCTAACTCATCTCAGAACAGGTTCTATGTTCCAAACAAGCATGGATATTTTCCCCATACAATTGACAGATATTTTTAAAAAGTAAAATTCTAAAAGAAGAAAATATGTTTAATTACATTTTGTATCACTAATATAATAAAAGAAAATCGGGCATATCAGGAGGGGGATTCCATTCAATTCTTTTTAAAAGAAAAAAAAGTTTCTGATAAAACCTGGACACCCAAAACTCTCACTAAGCTTTTTGGTCCATTACCTGCTGGGATCATCCAATCCTCAGTCGCTGAGCATTGCCAGTGTTTCCTGCTAGGCAAGAAGCACTAACTGTGATGCTATAGCAAATATCTTTCAGATCACCACCAAGGACTGGACTTTTCCCTTTGACCTGAACCATTGGATTAACTACCCATTGTCAAAGTACTACCACCTGCCTGAGTTTGGAAATCACCCATGATGGAAACTATCATTGATGCTTACTCCCAAGGATATAAATGTCAATCCTAAAATATATCTGCCCCTGTCATACGTTTTTGGATACTCCAGTTGAATTGTTCAATCATATCCATTGTGGGCCAATTCCAGAGCTATGTCAGTTTCCCTACCCCAGTCCAGCTTTCTTTCTTTTGCCAGAGACACATACTGCAAAAGTCCCTACGTGCTTCATGGTGATGGCTGTCCTGTTGCTGACCTGTCCTTTGAGAGCGAAAAAAAAATAGTGATATAATGTTTTCTCTTTATGTAATACAATATCAATTTGGATTTTTGTAAATATTAATATACTTTTCATAGAAAAGGAAATTTAGTCAAGCACTGAATGGCCACTGTACTTAAACAAGGGGAAAAGTTACAAAGATCCTAGTCTCCCTGTTTAAATATATCTCCAATGAGAAGCAGAAGGAAAACCCCTGCCCAGTAAATCTTCAGTATGTGATGTAAGGTCTAAACTTGAGGCTCAATATTATGTACTGCCTTGACATCTGGTGAAATCAGAAGGGCTTTGAATAGCCTAACTGCTATGTCCCCTCCCAAACCTGCTCCTACAGATAAGATTTCCTAGCCAAATGGCCCTCCTTATCAAAGGCACCAGACACAGTTTCTGCTTATTCCTGAGTATTGGGTTTCAATTTCCTGCCAACTTGTAGAATCATTCAAACAAGCTGATCACATCTTCCACAGGAACCAGGGGACACATCACCCTTTTAATTCTACAAAATCTGCCTTCTGCAGCCCCTGGCTGTTCATTCTGTTTCTGAGTCCAACCCCTGTGTGACCCTGGATGACATATGGTGTCCTCCTCCCTGCAAGCTGTGAATGTATGTGACTAATAAATGCTGTCCATTTCATCTTTTTAGTGTCAAGTGTCATATCTTCAGCCATCCCCATAACCTTAGGGTGGGAATCCCTCTGTCACCAACTGAGTGAATAGGAGGCGATTAAAACACATAAGTAAGAGAACTTCTTGAAAATGTCTGATATGCTCATGTATATAAATTTATTCTTATCATTTTTCTTCTTCAGAATGACAATCTTTGGAAAATGTAGTTTCTTGTAAAATCTTGGCCTGGCACTGTGTCTCACGCCTGTAATCCCAGCACTTTGGGAGGCCAAGGCAGGTGGATCACCTGAGGTCAGGAGTTCAAGACCAGCCTGACCAACATGGAGAAACCTCATCTCTACTAAAAATACAAAATTAGCCAGAGTGGTGGCACATGCCTGTAATCCCAGCTACTCGGGAGGCTAAGGCAGGAGAATTGCTTGAACCCGGGAGGCGGAGGTTGTGGTGAGCCGAGATTGTGCCATTGCACTGCAGCCTGGGCAACAAGAGAGAAACTTCATCTCAAAAAAAAAAACACAAAAGCTTCACAATTTGATATATCTAGAATGATGGGTCTGGGTCAACAACTGTATACTCAATATTACTCTCATTTTGACTCTCTTCAGCACACCAGACACACTCAGCCATATCCAGAACTGCAGGTCTCCATTTCCTTCCCATAAAGCTTTCAAAGTACATACACTGAAAATATTGTAATGATTATAATTAGCATTCAAGTCCAGGGCAAGGCTTTCTTTGAGGGAAGGACTACAGAATGCAGATCTTTTAGAGCACTGACGGAAGAAAATTGCTCCTAAAAAAATGTTTTCTTTTGTTTTGTTATTTCACTTTAAGTTCCCCGATACAAGTGCTGAACGGGTAGGTTTGTTAGACAGGTGTACGCATGCCATGGTGGTTTGCTGCACCTATCAACCCTTCATCTAGGTTTTAAGCTCCACAGGCATTAACCATTTTTCCTAATGCTTTCCCTCCCCTTGACCCCCATGCCCTGACTGACCCCGGTGTACATTGCTTCCCTCCCTGTATCCAGGTGTTCTCATTGTTCACCTCCCACTTATGAGTGAGAAAATGTGGTGTTTGGTCCTCTGTTCCTGTGTTAGTTTGCTGAGGATGATGGTTTCCAGCTTCATCCATGTCCCGGCAAAGGTCATGATCTCATTCCTTTTTATGGCCGCATAGGGTTCCATGGTGTATATGTACCACATTTTTTTTATCCAGTCTATCATTGATGGGTATTTGGTTGGTTCCATGTCTTTGCTATTGTAAATAGTGCTGCAATAAATATATATGTGCATGTGTTTTTATAGTAGAATGATTTATATTCCTTTGGCTATATATCTAGTAATGCAATTCCTGGGTCAAATGGTATTTCTGGTTCTATATCCTAGAGGAGTCACCACACTGTCTTCCACGATGGTTGAACTAATTTACATTCCCACCAGCAGTGTAAAAGCATTCCTATTTCTTCACAGCCTTGCCAGCATCTATTGTTTCTTGACTTTTTAATAACTGCCATTCTGACTGGTATGAGATGATACTTCCTTGTGGATTTGATTTGCATTTCTCTAGTGACCAGTGACGGTGAGCTTTTTTCATGTTTGTTGGCCGCATAAATGTCTTCTTTTGAGAAGTGTCTGTTCATATCCTTTGACCACTTTTTGATGGGGTTGTCTGTTTTTTTCTTGTAAATTTGTTTAAGTTCCTTGTAGATACTGGAAATTAGATCTTTGTCAGATGAGTAAATTGCAAAAATTTTCTCCCGTTCTGTAAGTTACCTGTTCACTCTGATGATAGTTTCTTTTGCTGTGCAGAAGCTCTTTAGTTTGATTAGATTCCATTTGTTAATTTTGGCTTTTGTTACAATTGCTTTCAGCATTTTAGTGATGAAGTCTTTGCCCATGACTATGTCATGAATTGTATTGCCTAGGTTTTCTTCTAGGGCTTTTATGGTTTTGTGTTTTACATTTAAGTCTTTAATCCACCTTGAGTTAATTTTTGTATACGGTTTGAGGAAGGGGTCCAGTTTCTGTTTTCTGCATATGGCTAGCCCAGTTTTCCCAGGACCATTTATTAAATAGGGAATTCTTTCCCAATTGCTTGTTTTTGTCAGGTTTGTCAAAGATCAGATGGTTGTAGATGTGTGGTGTTACTTCTGAGGTTCTGTTCTGTTCCACTGGTCTATATGTTTGTTTTGGTACAAGTACCATGCTGTTTTTGTTACTGTAGGCTTGTAGTACAGTTTGAAGTCAGGTAGAATGATGCCTCCAGCTTTGTTCTTTTTGCTTAGGACTGTCTTGGCTATACAGGCTCTTTTTTTGGTTCCATATGAAATTTAAAGTAGTTTTTTTTAATTCTGTGAAGAATGTCAATGGTAGTTTGATGGGAATAGCATTGACTCTATAAATTACTTCAAGCAGTATGGCCATTTTGATGATATTGACTCTTCCTATCCATGAGGTTAGAATGTTTTTCCATTAGTTTGTGTTCTCTCTTATTTCCTTGAGCAGTGGTTTGTAGTTCTCCTGGAAGAGGTCCTTCACATCCCTTGTTGGCTTTATTCCTAGGTATTTTATTATCTTTGTAGCAACTGTGAATGGGAGTTCATTCATGATTTGGCTCTATGCTTGTCTATCGTTGGTGTATAGGAATGCTTGTGATTTTTCCACATCGATTTTGTATCCTGAGACTTTGCTGGGGTTGCTTATCAGCTTAAGGAGTTTTGGGGCTGAGATGATAGGGTATTCTAAATATAGAATCATGTCATCTGCAAACAGAGACAATTTGACTTCCTCTCTTCCTATTTGAATACCCTTTATTTCTTTCTCTTGCCTGATTGCCCAGGCCAGAACTTCCAATACGATGTTGAATAAGAGTGGTGAGAGAGGGCATTCTTGTCTTGTGCTGGTTTTCAAATGGAATGCTTCCAGCTTTTGCCCATTCAGTATGATATTGACTGTGGGTTTGTCATAAATGGCTCTTATTATTTTGAGATATAGTTCATCAATACTTAGTTTATTGAGAGTTTTTAACATGAAGGATGTTGGATTTTATTGAAGGCCTTTTCTACATTTATTGAGATGATCATGTGGTTTTTGTCTTTGGTTCTGTTTATGTGATGGATTACATTTATTGATTTGCATATGTTCAACCAGGCTTGCATGCCAAGGATGAAGCTGACATGATCACGGTAGATAAGCTTTTTGATGTGCTGCTTGATGTAGTTTTCTAGTATTTTATTGAGGATTTTTGCATCAATGTTCATCAGGGATATTGGCCTGAAGTTTTATTTTTTTTGTTGTGTCTCTGCCAGGTTTTGGTATCAGGATGATTCTGGCCTCATAAAATGAGTTATGAAGGAGTCCCTCCTTTTCAATTGTTTAGAATAGTTTCAGAAGGAATGGCACCAACTCATCTTTGTACCTCTGGTAGAATTCGGCTGTGAATCCACCTGGTCCTGGGGTTTGTTTGTATTTTGTATTTTTGTTGTTGTTGTTGTTGTTGTTTGTTTGTGTTTGGTTGGTAGGCTATTAATTACTGCCTCAATTTCAGAACTTGTTATTGGCTTATTCAGGGATTCAACTTCTTTCTGGTTTAGTCTTGGGAGGGTGTATGTGTCCAGGAATTTATACATTTCTTCTAGATTTTCTAGTTTATTTTCTTAGAGATGTTTATAGTTTTCTCTGATGGTAGTTTGTATTTCTGTGAGGTCAGTGGTGATATCCCCTTTATCATTTTTTATTTGATTCTTCTCTTTTCTTATTTGGCCAGCTAGTGGTCTATTTTGTTAATTTTTTCAAAAAACTAGCTCCTGGATTTATTGATTTTTGAAGGGTTTTTGTGTCTCCAGCTCCTTCAGTTCTGCTCTGATCTTAGTTATTTCTTCTCTTCTGCTAGCTTTTGGATTTGTTTGCTCTTGCTTCTCCAGCTCTTTTAATTGTGAAGTTACGGTGTCAATTTGAGATCTTTCTAGCTTTCTGATATGGGCATTGGAAAAAAATGTTTTCAAAAGTTCATGACCCAGAATCAAAATGCTTTGAAACTGTAGCTTGAATGAGCATTCCATATTTTCCATCTGTATCTTCATTTCTTTGTGCTTTTTCTATCAACCTTAAGGAAACAGGGGCATGATTTAAAGAGAGATGTAACAGGACGCAAATTGTCTCCAAACTTAGTCTTTAGCTATCACCTTGATTATGAGCTAGAAACTTGGCATCCTAAAGACTCCATTTTCCAGCCTACCTTGCTTCTACATGTGACATATATTGTGTGAGGCTCCTGTGAAGTCTTCTTAAAGGAAACATCACATCTCTCTCCTCTCCATTTTCCTCTTTCCTGAAGGCTGGAATATGACATGAGGACTTGAGCTTGAGCAGCTATTTTGGACCATGAACCGAATGTCATGGATGAAATAACATCAAAAGAAAAAAATTGAGATTGTATAAACTAATCAAGCCACTATACTAGCCCCAAACTGCCTATCTCTAGACTGTCCCACAAAAAAAAAAAGTAAATGTCTAGTTTGTTTACATATCTGTTACATGCAGCTGAACTTCCTTTGAACTGACAGAGGTAGTATACCTAGAACTGCTATTCAACCAGTTTACAACAGTATAGTCATGCTATACTGAAATCTAAAATTCTGCCACATAGGTTACTGAGGAAAAACACCATCTAATAATCTTGCATAGCATCAACAAAGGTAGGAAATTGAGAATGCAAGTCTTGCCAGTATAGACATGGGACATTCGTGGTGGCTGCTGAGCTGGTGGCAGCAACAGTGCCAGTGGCATTTTCTGATCCCACCTGCTATTTTAAAGTAGCTCAAGATTTGCAAGGACAAAGTAGCAGAGCAGATGGCAGAAGCAGTAGCACACTGGCAGCAACATTGTCATCACTAGTTGATGACAGTGATAGCCACAGTCTGATTGAAACTCAGGCTCTCCGGATATGCACATGAAGGCAGGGCAGCCAGCACAAAAGACACAAAAGTAACAGGTGCCAGGTACCTATCCACTTTCCATTTACTGTAGCTCTTATCCCCCTTATCTATGGGGGATATGTTTTAAGCCTCTGGTGGATGTCTGCAACTGTGGATAGTACTGAAACTTACATATGCCATGTTTTTTTCTTATACTTACATACATACCTATGATAAAGTTTAATTTATAAATTTGGCTGGCTGTGGTGGCTCATGTCTGCAATCCTAGCATTTTGGGAGGCCGAGGCGAGTGGATCACCTGAGGTCAGGGGTTCAAGACCAGCCTGGCCAACATGGTGAAACCCCGTCACTACTAAAAATACAAAAATTAGCTGGGCATGGTACCAGGCACCTGTAGTCCCAGCTACTTGGGTGGCTGAGGCAGGAGAATCGCTTGAACTCAGAAGGCAGTTGTTGCAGTGAGCCGAGATCACACCATTGCACTCCAGCCTAGGTGACAAGAGCAAAACTCCATCTCAAAAAAAAATAAAAAAAAAAAAACAAAGAAAAAAAAGTGTAATGTATAAATTAGGTGCGTAAGAGATTAGCAACAGTAATACTAAAATGGAACAATTATACTATAATTCAAATTATGTGAACGCGGTCTTTCTCTTTTTCTCTCTCAGGATATCTTATTTTACTGTACTCATTTTTTGTGATGATGTGAGATGATAAAACGACTGTGTGATGCTATGAAGTTAGGTGAATGATGTAGGCATTGTGACACAGTGTTAGACTACTACTGACCCTGTAATGATACATCAGAAGGAGGAGCATCTGCTTTGGGTGAGTCTGGTTGATGGAGCCATGATAGGGTAGATGGTTGGATGTCTGGAGCAGACAGTATTGACAACAAATGAGCAGGTAGCTTATACAGTGTGGACATACTGGACAAAGGGATGATTAACATCCCGGGCAGGACAGCCCAGGATGGCACAAGATTTCATCACACTAATCAGAACAGTGTGCAATTTAAAACATATGAATTGTTTATTTCTGGAATTTTCCATTTAATATTTTCAGACACATAAGGGAACTACCTATTGGAGAAGTCATTGGAACACTGCTATGTGGCTCACAATATTAAATCTGGACTCAGACAGGAGAAACTTAGTGAAATGATAAACAAAAGATTATATTATTGACTTCTAAATAAATCAATAACTGATTTGAAAATTATTAAATTGGATGAATGATTTATATAACTAAGTAAGCAATTGTATAATTATAGATGTGTGTCATACACATGTCTAATTTAGAGAACAGAATTTTAAATGCATTTTATTTACACATTAATTTGTATTACTTTTTGAATATCACCCCTGAGCATGCCTAGATAGAAGCCAGTCTTAAGTTACAACTTTGTAACTTAAGAAGTTAAGAAGTTAAGAGAAGCTACTGTTCTACTTTTCCCACTCTGAATATCAGATTATTGACTACATTTGTCACTAAAGTCAAACCCAGTTGTGATTTATGTGTCTATAAAAATAGCTGAAGAATATGTAACTTTGGGACTTCATCTTTTTAAAAAGAAGACACTGATGATGAAATAGCGTGATGAACGAAGAACTATGAAACACACACCATAAGAAAAGAACAATAAAGATGTAACAAGCATGATAAACATAAGCTACGAAACACGGTGAGTCCAACATTAACTTTCAATCCATCTTCAGTAGGACAATGGTGAAGCCATTAGCTAGGTGTCGATAAGGAAAATACATCTCTTCTAGTCTGTCAACTGTTTTGATTTTGTCATGATTCATGGATCCTCTTCTTTCAGGTTTCATACTCTAACAATTAGTTATGGAGGTTGCTCAGCTTCTTGTATCAAAGAGTTCATAAAGAATTGAAGAGAATTCTCTCTCCCCTCTCAATAGCTCTTTTGTCAGACTGATTTAAATACAGAGTCTTTATCAACTGTATCTTGTAAGATGTTTTTTTACTCTCAATTATGATCTGCATAATTGTTACCTCCAGTTTCTAAGAGCGGTGGCTCTCAAATATCAATCTTTTGACCCACTGCATCAGAATCATTTGGAGAATCTGTTAAAAATTTAGATTTCCAGGCTATGCTTCCATAATATATTTTAGGTACGGCCTAAGAAATTATAGTTTAGCAGTATGTCCAACTCCCAAATTGAAAGCACAGCCAGATTTGGGAATCTGGTATTTAGAGGAAGGCTGCCCTTACTGCCCTGTGGGGCTGAAGCACTGCTCTGACTTCACCTTTCCTATCCAAGTTCTCTGGGATCTTCCCCTTTCCATAGCTATTGGGTGGAGAACGGGAAAGGGTATGAAACCTCACTCTTAAGGTGATAGATTATTTTCCAGATTTGAACTGATATAAACTGAATCTGGAAAAGTGCATTTCCTAAAAGACAGAACTCTCATTATGTGTTTCCTCCTCAGAAAAAAACATCACATGCTTCCCATGGTTCCAATCATTTCGGGTTTTACTAAGTTTCATGTCCACTCTCAGGTAACTAATTTAAATAACCCTGAGAGCTTACAATAGAGAATCATGCTCTCCGTTGAACATGCAGAATAAAAAAAATGCAGAATAAAAAACTAAAGCATAAAGTATAATTCCCAAGCATAGATGGGGCAGAGATCATCAGACAGAGGCAGAATGAAGAATTTTTAATTTCAACCAATTTGAGCAGTCAGATGTGAACCTGATAACAGAGGAGGCAATGGGTCAGGAACCCAACAAGTCCTGCAAATTGAGAATCCTAAAACAAATCTGAGGTCAGGAGAGAGGAGAAAATGGGTTAATTCCGTGGTTTTAGGCAAGGCTGGAGAGATCAACAGCATCTTGAAGGTCAAAGGAGGTACAGAATCCAACAGCTTAGAGAATTTGAAGCAGAGGCATTCATGAGTAGAAACAGTAAAGAAACACTACACCTAAGTCAGTGAGATATTCTCTCTGCTTCCTTGTATACCTCCTGTTGGCAAAGTGTGGCCCTGAGACCACAGGTGTATAATCACTGACAGAAGATGATTAGAGAATAAAAGGTACACTCTGTACAAGAATGAAGTAAAGACAGAAGTGTGACAATTACTGGAAGCTCTTAAACAGTAAAAGCACCCAGCAGGCAATTCCTTCCTCTGTGTTTATTAATTCCTCCCCTGCATCTGACAAGGTACAAAGGTAAGTTTTGCTCTCTACCTGCTGTATGTTTACAGGGTATAAAAGACCTGGAGAAATCTTTCACCTCAAGTCTCTCAGGCAGCTTAATTCCTCATTAACTTTCATAAAGGCCAATTCAGTGAGTCAAACTCTGTTCTGTTGTTGCAGAAATAAAAATAGTTTAACCAGCAAAAGATTCTCGAGTCCACTTGAATTTAAAGATAGAAATTAATAATGGCAACTATAGAGTGCTTGGGTCTCACAACAATGTAGAAAAAAGAAAAGACTAAACTACAACCTTGAGCAAGTCATTTAAACTCCCTAGGCCTCAGTGTCATTGATTGTAAAAACAAGAGGATAACACTTGCTCAGAATATTTCATGAAATTGTGATAAGGCTTAAATGAGTTAACATACACCAAAGCACTTCAGAAGAAAACAACTATCAATATCATCATTAATATTTATCTATTTGGCCAGTATTTTATTTTAGTCATATTCTCATGAGTATTTGATTGCAAACAATTGCATTTTGATAATACAGAAAGAGCAAAAAGATACACAAAATGGTCACAAGTAAAACGGTTATGTGATTTTTGAAGAGAATGCAATAAGAAAATCCCACATCATGGAAGGAGAAAATATTATCAAAATGTAACACTATTTCTTATTGTCATATACATTTTCTCCTTTTAAATCACACATTAGAGAAAAATTGTAAGTAGTGTTAAATAAGATGCCGATTTATACTTCTTTATTTTATTTATTTTTTTATTATTATACTCTAAGTTTTAGAGTACATGTGCACAATGTGCAGGTTAGTTACATATGTATACATGTGCCATGCTGGTGTGCTGCACCCACTCACTCGTCGTCTAGCATTAGGTATATCTCCCAATGCTATCCCTCCCCCCTCCCCCGACCCCACAACAGTCCCCAGAGTGTGATGTTCCCCTTCCTGTTTCCATGTGTTCTCATTGTTCAATTCCCACCTATGAGTGAGAATATACGGTGTTTGGTTTTTTGTTCTTGTGATAGTTTACTGAGAATGATGATTTCCAATTTCATCCATGTCCCTACAAAGGACATGAACTCATCATTTTTTATGGCTGCATAGTATTCCATGGTGAATATGTGCCACATTTTCTTAATCCAGTCTATCATTGTTGGACATTTGGGTTGGTTCCAAGTCTTTGCTATTGTGAATAGTGCCACAATAAACATACGTGTGCATGTGTCTTTATAGCAGCATGATTTATAGTCCTTTGGGTATATACCCAGTAATGGGATGGCTGGGTCAAATGGTATTTCTAGTTCTAGATCCCTGAGGAATCACCACACTGACTTCCACAATGGTGGAACTAGTTTACAGTCTCACCAACAGTGTAAAAGTTTTCCTATTTCTCCACATCCTCTCCAGCACCTGTTGTTTCCTGACTTTTTAATGATTGCCATTCTAACTGGTGTGAGATGATATCTCACTGTGGTTTTGATTTGCATTTCTCTGATGGCCAGTGATGGTGAGCATTTTTTCATGTGTGTTTTTTGGCTGCATAAATGTCTTATTTTGAGAAGTGTCTGTTCATGTCCTTTGCCCACTTTTTGATGGGGTTGTTTGTTTTTTTCTTGTAAATTTGTTTGAGTTCATTGTAGATTCTGGATATTAGTCCTTTGTCAGATGAGTAGGTTGCGAAAATTTTCTCCCATTTTTTGGGTTGCCTGTTCACTCTGATGGTAGTTTCTTTTGCTGTGCAGAAGCTCTTGAGTTTAATTAGATCCCATTTGTCAATTTTGGCTTTTGTTGCCATTGCTTTTGGTGTTTTAGACGTGAAGTCCTTGCCCATGCCTATGTCCTCAATGGTAATGCCTAGGTTTTCTTCTACGGTTTTCATGGTTTTAGGTCTAACGTTTAAGTCTTTAATCCATCTTGAATTGATTTTTGTATAAGGTGTAAGGAAGGGATCCAGTTTCAGCTTTCTACATATGGCTAGCCAGTTTTCTCAGCACCATTTATTAAATAGGGAATCCTTTCCCCATTGCTTGTTTTTCTCAGGTTTGTCAAAGATCAGATAGTTGTAGATGTGCGGCGTTATTTCTGAGGGCTCTGTTCTGTTCCATTGGTCTATATCTCTGTTTTGGTACCAGTACCATGCTGTTTTGGTTCCTGTAGCCTTGTAGTATAGTTTGAAGTCAGGTAGTGTGATGCCTCCAGCTTTTTCTTTCGGCTTAGGATTGACTTGGCGATGCGGGCTCTTTTTTGGTTCCATATGAACTTTAAGGTAGTTGTTTCCAATTCTGTGAAGAAAGTCATTGGTAGCTTGATGGGGATGGCACTGAATCTATAAATTACCTTGGGCAGTATGGCCATTTTCATGATATTGATTCTTCCTACCCATGAGCATGGAATGTTCTTCCATTTGTTTGTATCCTCTTTTATTTCATTGAGCAGTGGTTTGTAGTTCTCCTTGAAGAGGTCCTTCACGTCCCTTGTAAGTTGGATTCCTAGGTATTTTATTCTCTTTGAAGCAATTGTGAATGGGAGTTCACTCATGATTTGGCTCTCTGTTTGTCTGTTATTGGTGTATAAGAATGCTTGTGATTTTTGCACATTGATTTTGTATCCTGAGACTTTGCTGAAGTTGCTTATCAAAGTAAAGCCGATTTATATTTCTAACAAGATAGTTGGTCAATTTCGCTTTTGACAAGAAAATGTCCAAGGAACATACGGACTTAGAGAAAGAAGAGCATGAGAAAGGAGCATATTCCTGGCTAGACCTCTCTTCCACACTCTAATAGAAAACTCTATCAAATTAGTATTGACTTTGTGTAGGACCTCTCATACCTTATCCAGATAATTCTGGGGGCTTACAACCAAAGCAGGCTAAAAGACTTTGTTTATTTGTACATCAATGGTCAAACTCAAATCTCTGTGCTCTTATCTCTCCAATGCAAGTAAGGATTAACCAAAAGCATGTGAACAAGTGAAAATTTAAAAAAAACAAAGGAGCAAGAGAGTTTGTGCCAGTGCATAGAGGATAGCTGGTATTATCTATATACTCAAACACACTTGGTGCTTTCTCAGGCATCAATATAGCTCACATGTGAGAAAATTAAAATTACACTGGGAAATGACACCTTGAAGTGCTCAAACTTAGCCCTTTCTTTGAAAGCTATAATTGCTGAAAATGTGGCCCAATATCTCAAAATAATAGTCACTGGTGATATAGTCAATAAATGTATGCCTAGTCAATAATGCTTTATACTAAATTCCTTCTGTAGAAATAACTGCTATGATATCTGTCTTCTGATTGAACCCTTGACTGATATAAGACAGCTGGCATTCAAGCCAGTGGCTAAAAGGCATCGACCAAAAGAATTAGTAAAAATAGAGAAGGCAAGAGTTTCAGGAACTGAGCCTTCAAGCACGCCAACTAATTTAAAGGTTTAGGGAGATGATAAGAAAATAGTAAAAATAAGATGAGAAAAAGTTAGCAACTAGTGAGGTAGAAGAAAAACTACGTAATATAATATTCTGGAAGACAAATAAAAAATGATATTTCAAGGAAGAGAGAATAATCAATGGATCCAGATGGAAATCATAAGTAACCTATCAGTAGTAGGGGAGAACACTTGGCAAGTATGTATCTAAAAGAGATTAGTGCTTATGATCTTAGTATCAAATAAGTCTGAATTCAAGGGAAAATGCATAAAATTATAAAAATAGAGTGTTTTATAATTATAAAATGCACAATTTATAATGAAGTTATACAAGTTACAAATATATGCTCTAAATAATATTTATAAAGCAAAAATCACAGAAGATACAAAGGTCAATAAATGAAAATATATTTAAAATAACAGATTCAAGCTGGGTACGGTGCCTCATGCCTGTAATTCCAGCACTTTTAGAGGCCAAGGTGGGAAGATTACTTCAAAGCCAGGAGTTTGAGACCAGCCTGGGCAACAAAGTAAGACCCTGCTTTTACAAACAATAAAATAAATTAGCTGTGTGTGGTGGCAAGCAACTATAATCACTTATTTTGAGCCCAGAAGTTTGAGGCTGTATTGAGCTATGATAGCACCAGCCTGGGTAACAGAATGAGACCCCGTCTCTAAAAAAATAATAATGAAATCACAGATCTTCATTTCCTCTCTTAATTGACAGCAAATCAAATGGACAGAAAACATTTTTTAAGTATATAAATATTATATATAAAGTATCATATATAAGTATCATATATAAAAAGTAGATGTAATTTATATATATATATATATATATTTCTATACCCCAAATATAGGTAATATGCCTTCTTTTAGGGGGCATTGTTTCATGAACCAGAGGCAATATGCCCTCCTGTCCATGAAACAGTCAGAAAAATTGACTATATATTCAACCACTAAGCAAACTCCAATAAATTCCAAATTTATAAAGTATAAAGATTACAGGAAATATTCTCTGACCATAAATAAACCAGGAAACAAAAAATCCTGCAACTGATATATTACATTAGTGCCACTCATCAATATTTCCAGTATTTCTACTTTTTGTCATTCCAGGACATAATAGGACTGTGTTTCCCTAACATTCTTGAATTCATGCTTATGGGACTTGCATTAACCAATAAAATCTGAACAGAAGTATTTAAGGGTGTGCTGCAGTGACTGGCATCATTCCAGATGGTTCTGTTTGAGGATCAATGGAGCACAGCTCCCAACTGACCCTAATGGATATGTACTATGAAGTTACTGTTAACCTATCCTGAATTGACTGATACAAACCTTCAGAATTTTTGGAAATTTAAATTGAAATTGTAGAACTCTAGCCCCACAAAAAGATAAAAACATCAGAACCTATGAAAATACACTTTTTAAAAAGCTATGCTTGAAGTACACATAAAAATATACAGGACGAACTTTTCTTCTAAAGTATTGCCATTTTGGTGACCGAGCTCCAAAACCCCTAAGTCTCTCTGCCTCCCTTCTCTAAGATTCAGATTTCCAGGAAATAAAATCTAATTGGTCCAGCTTGAATCAGCTATCTGACCAAAAGCATGGGGTTCAACAACACAGACATGGCCTCTTAGGGTTTGAGGGCCCTCCACTGTGTTTTGAGGCCATTTCCAGAGGGGGATAACTATAATTTTATTACATCTCACCCCTTAGTCATATGCTGCCTACAATGATTCAACTATCTAGATTCTGGACTCAGTTATGAGGTGCACCAAGACATGGTTCCTGGATGGACGATCTCTACATGTTCAGTTGTTTCCCAGTGAGGAAGAGCTTGGCCTTAGTTATGCAGGTCAAGTAGGCAGAGTTAGCACTCTGAATGGGAAGTAAATAACATATATTGAAAGCTGTTTGTTCCTTACTAGCTTCTATGAGAATTAAACTATAAGTCTATAAATTGATTAAGTTTCATTATAATGCTCATTTCCTGTGTATAAGCTATGTGAAGAGAGATTGTGCTTATAATATGGGAAGAAGCAACATATGTTTCTTTGAATTCATCATTTGCAGTAGTTATGCTCCAACTTTGTTTTGGCATAGTTTTTTTATATCATAACTCCTAGAATCACCACAAATGTCTAGGGCAGGTTTTCTAAGCTTTTTCTCTTGTCCTCTCCATCTAAACAGAATTTTTATCCAACTTGACTCTTGTCTTTGATGGGACAAAAACCAATTTTTCTCTTTTTAATTCAGCAAGGCCCATTCTTTAAACAGCTTCCAGACGCAGAATATATATTCCAAGAGGAGCCATGGACATCCCTAAACCCTCTTCAGTGGCAAAAGTGGCAGGGAAAAGAGTATCCAGATGGCTGTGCTGGAAGTCTTTTCTCTCTTCTGGATCTACCCAGGGATTGATTTCTGATCAAACAAATGCGACTGGACTCCTTTCAAGGTATTAAATATAATTAGCTGTTAATTGTTATCGTTAAAGGACTCTGCTGAGTGGTATCAAGGCACCATCTGGATAGCTTATCACTTTCACTGGGGAAATCCCGAAATCTCCATCTAAAAATGTGTGTGTCACTTGCAGGCATTTACAATACCTGTCAACAACCTTTGCATCCGGTGGGAAACTTGTCACAGATGGTTGAAATTAAAGACAGAAATACTCTCTTTGTTGGTCAAAATTCTACTTTGTAGTATTTATACTTCTTTAAAACCATCAGGTTTAAATGAGGATAAAAATATAAGAGAACATAGATATGTATGTTTTCTTGTATTTTAAACACCATCTATATCATCTCAGCATTTGGTTGTAAACAGCAGAACATGACACAGATCATCTGAAGCAAAAAGAGAGAGAGAATTGATTGGAATTATATTGGACTACTGGAAGACCAGCTTGAAAATCTGACAGGTCCCAAGTAAGCTCTGGACGGCTATGCAGAAGATACCCAGGGGATGTCAGACAACTCTAACAGACTCTGTATTGTGCTATCACTTGCTCAAGATCCAAAATCTTACAAAAGAACACCTGTTGTTCAAGTCTGTGTCAGAGTTTTGCCACCTGATTCTATCAAGATGAAGAAAGAGGAACCATCTTTGGCTTCCACACCTAGAGATGGACACTGCCTTCAAGTAAGTGATCTCCAAGTTAAGATGAAGATACCATTATGAAGCAGGTGTGGAAGCTCAACACCCCCAAAGTGGCAAAGATTAACTAAATTATTTTACTATAAATCAAACCCCTCTATGACAGGTAAAAAAATCGGTCTTCCAATCATATTTTGAAAATCATTACTGATTCAATCATTAACTAAATGTATGTTCACATTGTGGTAAGGATGTATTACAAGGAAATCCTGAGAACTTTGGATGAAGTGGTACATTCCTTACCTTTTGAGACCCATACCACATAAGAAAACAAAATGCTTTTCTCCAGAATAGAATACTGGTCTCAACAGGCGATTTTCATGACACGTTATAGGGTTTTTAAAGTTTCATTAATTTTTTTATTTATTAAATTCATATGAATCTACTAAGTTGTTTATGTGTCACTGTGTAATGTTTTGCTAGATGGATACAAAATAGTACTTAATACTGTCTCTAATTGAAATCTAAGTGGGAAAATAAGACATATCTACCCAAAATAATTAGTAAACAGGGAAATATATATACTTTGATGGAAGTCAATTAAAATTTTATATATCCTGAAGCCTACTTAAAAGTACATTTTATACAAACAATATTCAGTTCCCAGCACGTCTTGTGTGCTTGGAAAATAGATATGACAAAAATCCAATTTAATTTTGCCCTTCCCGTCTGCTATTCAACAATTTGCCAAAATGTTACAGGCTTGCTCCATCTATCCAGATATTTGGATGTGTATTATCTAGTTGTAGCAAACGATCTCCTCTTCCCTTTTTATCATGTGAACTCCAGTTCATCCTTCAAGATTTAACTCAGATGTACCTCCTGTGAATTTCTTGATGTACACACTATGGATCTGTGGTCTGGACACCTTGTCTCTTGTCTTCTTAATGGCACCACGTCCTAATGACTTAGTAAATTTATGTCCACTCTCCTTCCCTATTCCACTTCTCTTCATCCATCTCTTAAACAGAAGAAAAAGTACCAATAGGACTCAAGGACAAAATGGAGTCCTAGAGTCATACACATAAGCCAGCAACCATAGAGTGGCACCTACAGTGGGAGAGTGGAAGGAGGAGTAAAATGTTTATATAAAGAGAATTTCATGGGGAAAATGCTGGCCCTTAGAGAGCCAGGTCAGTCCAGAAGTTCAAAACAATTAAATTATGACCCCTCTACATAATTCCACCTCTTTCCCTCCTTCTGCATGTTTAGCTGGTTGATTAGTAACTGTACTATGGCAATTCTTATGGGTTAACATTACCATTGTATCTTAGTGAAAAATGAAAGCTTCAGGCTCTGCACCTCTATTGCAAAATCAGTGTAGCACTAGGGCCTACTGTAAACATTCCTACAAAATAGATATATCAGTCACAGTCATACTCATCCGTGATTTTAATGGAGGTCTAATATAAAGAATTTGTGAATAGGATAAAAGGATTAAGGCAAAAAGCAAACAGTGAGACACCAAGAAATGGTACTTCAAAAGCAGCTACTCATCCAAAGGTCCTAAGAACTTAGAAGCTTGGAAGAAAAATCCTGATGACCTGGACATAGATCTCTGAGGAAGGAGAGCTGCTAGATGGCCTAGTACCTCCAGAGCTCAGAGGACCGCCCCTGCAGAGCTAGGACTGAGACTTATGGGGAGAGGACCATCTGTTTACTGTTGGTAATCCTGGTAGATGCAACAAGGCTGGTACGAGAATATAAAAAAGCAAATGGAAACTGGAGCCACCTGGTGCTATTGGAAGCAATTACTGCATTCAGAGTGATGCTCCATTGCTATTATAGTCCTGAAAGGATCAAGAAACAGAAAGAAGCCATGATCTCCTTTTCCTCCTTCAGCCTTTCAGTTTCTCTCTAGTTGCCCATAATAATAGCACCCAATAGGAGCCCGCTGGCGAAGGGAAACAGTATTCAGAATTCCAAACACAGTCCTATAACACCAAGGCTGGGAGAAAAACACTTCATTATCAGTAGGAAAGGCAGCAGGCAGGGAAGAAATCTCTCCAGGTGAAGTTAGATATCAGTTCTTTTCCTTGCATTGCATCTTTTTAGGTTTCATTTCTCATAAGGTTAAGTTTCCAACTTTTAACTGAGGCTGTCTGAAAGATAATATCACAAGCCTCATAATTAAGGCCTTTTCCTCATCATAATTTCTGATCCAATTAGAAATCATTTTTAAAAATAACTAAAAGGATATAATTGAATTGTAAAACACAAAGGATAAATACTTGAGGTGATGGATACTCTATCTACCCTTATGTGGTGATTACTGTATTGCACGCCTGCATGAAGATATCTTGTGTAACCCATAAAACATATACACCTACTATGTACCCACAAAAATTAAAAATATTTTTTAAATGCAAACATCCCTTTAGTTCCCAGGGACAGGGCTTTCCTGATCTTGCCCAAAATTCAGAGACCCATTTCACTCTGAAAATTGTTCCTGAACCTCTGGATAAAGGAAGAACTGCCACACGCAGGAATTACTAAGCCCTGTCTCTCCATAGCCACGAGCTGCTAGTCCTATTTTGCTTTCAGAGTTATCAACCTCTGTTTTTTAAAACAAAATTTTTATCTCAGAATACTCTTCTCTGAACAGCATTAACCAATACAGACAAAAATGAATGGTAGATGTCCCATGAGCCTTAGAAGGCTGTACACCAGCTGAGCACTGAGTACGGTTTTATAAGTGAAATAATGATGAATGGTTTTTCCATACCTAAGCACAACATTGAGTTAAAATCAACACTGCATGACTCATTTTTAAAACTCTTCTGACAGTTCTACCCTTTAGGTTGGCCTTAAGCCCGTCTTGCCTTTATGGGCCATCAGATTTGTTCGGTGATCTCCAACAGGCAGCAGTCTGGAATACCTGCAGCTTAGTGGCTCACGATGCAGGAAATATTCTTGCCTGACTTTGAATCTATTAAAGCAATTTCTTCCTCTCTGATTTTTACAGCTAATGTCCAGTTGGCCAGTCAACCATGGCTGCAATGAAAGGAAAATGACTTTGGGGAAGTAACATGGACTTCTTGGAGTAAAACAATCAAGGTAGGAAAGATCCTATCCAGTTTATTCTCTCCCAATTTTAGAAAAACATCTTTCACACTTTTCCTCAAATATTGAGCCATATAAAATCATTGTTCAATTTAACTTTAAATTAACTTTAACAATGACAACTTAAGGTACTGTGTTAGATGGAGTAAACCAAACAGAGTCTTAAAATGTAAAAACTATTGACAATCGAGTAGGAATAACACACTTTTTTTTCTCACTTAACATTTCAACCTAACCATGGAGATGTGGGAATTTATGTCCATTCCCTTTAGATTTTGTGTATGTTCTGCAATTGCTTTAATCAACACAAAACTACAGAAGTGACACTGTACCTGTTTCTGTGCCTAGGCCTTATGAAACTGACAGCTTCCGCTACCTGTGTCTTAGAACAATGCTCTTGAAAACCAGCCACCATGCTGTGAGGAAGACCAAAGAATCCCATGGGGAAGCCCACATAGAGAAGAACTGGAAGTTCCAGACTGAAGACCTGCTGTGTTCCCAAACAGTCAGTACCAATTTGCCTTTTAAGAGAGTGAGCTATCATATAAATGACTTCTCTGGATCCAGAAAAGCCTAGTACTTGACCTACAAAATCATGAGCAAAATAAAATTGCTCTTTTAAGACATTATCTTTTGGGGTATTTTCACAGGCAACCGGCACCCACTATAAAAAGCTGTCACCTCATATGAGATAACATCCTCAAGACATTTTGAGTAGTTTAATCCAGATCACCAGAAACCCCCTTTATTTTATCTCCAAGCAAACACGTATTTCCTGCCTTTCAGTAATGTATGTTCTAAAAGAGGAAAAACACATTGAGATACAAAAGCACATTATAAGACAGAAAACTCTATGTTCCATTTCCTATCATTTACCTTGATGTGAACAACCATCTCCAAAAGGGGGACTAGTTGCCATTGCTTCATATCTCCCTCTCATCTTTCACCTACTTCTCCCTTTGCAGTCTTGGGCACACCATTGTGGCCTCCTCACCTATTCCCACCTCTTCTCTATAATTTTTTATTATACTTTAAGTTCTCGGATACATGTGCAGAACATGCAGGTTTGTTACATAGGTATACATGTGACATGGTGGTTTGCTGCACCCATCAATCCATCATCTACATTAGGTATTTCTCCTAATGCTATCCCTCCCCTTGCTGCCCATCCCCAACAAGCCCCAGAGTGTGATGTTTCCCTCCCTGTGCCCATATGTTCTTATTGTTCAACTCCCACTTATGAGTGAGAACATGTGGTGTTTGGTTTTCTGTTTCTGTGCTACTTTGCTGAGAATGATGGTTTCCAGCTTCATCCATGTCCCTGCAAAGGACATAAACTCATTCTTTTTCATGGGTGTATAGTATTCCATGGTGTACATGTGCCACATTTTCTTTATCCAGTATAACATTGATGGGCATTTGAGTTGGTTCCAAGTCTTTGCTATTGTGAATAGTGCTACAGTAAACATACGTGTGCATGTGTCTTTATAGTAGAATGATTTACAATCCTTTGGGTATATACCCAGTAATGGGATTGCTGGGTCAAATGGTATTTCTACTTCTAGATTCTTGAGAAATCGCCACACTGTCTTCCACAATGGTTTAACTAATTTACACTCCCACCAACAGTGTAAAAGCATTCCTATTTTTCCACATCCTCTCTAGCATCTGTTGCTTCCTGACTTTTTAATGATCACCACTCTAACTCCCATGAGATGGTATCTTATTGTGGTTTTGATTTGCATTTCTATAATGGCCAGTGATAATGAGCTTTTTTTCATATGCTTGTTGGCTGCATAAATATCTTCTTTTGAAAAGTGTCTGTTCATATCCTTCACCCATTTTTGATGGGGTTGTTTGTTTTTTTCTTGCAAATTTGTTTAAGTTCCTTGTAGATTCTGGATATTATCCCTTTGTCAGATGGATAAATTGCAAAAATTTTCTCCCATTCTTTAGGTTGCCTGTTCACTCTGATGATAGTTTCTTCTGCTGTGTAGAAGCTCTTTAGTTTAATTAGATCCCATTTGTCAATTTTGGCTTTTGTTGCAATTGCTTTTGGTGTTTTAGTCATGAAGTCTTTGCCCAGGCCTATGTCCTGAATGGTATTGCCTAGGTTTTCTTCTAGGGTTTTTATGATTTTAGGTCTTACATTTAAATCTTTAATCCATCTTGAGTTAATTTTTGTATAAGGTGTAAGGAAGGGGTCCGGTTTCAGTTTACTGCATATGGCTAGTCATATGAGCATACAACATTTATTAAGGAGGGAATACTATCCCCATTGCTTGTTTTTGTCAGATTTGTCAGAGATCAGATGGTTGTGGATGTGTGGTGTTATTTCTGAGGCCTCTGTTCTGTTCCATTGGTCTATATATCTATTTTGATACCAGTACCCTGCTGTTTTGGTTACTGCAGGCTTGTATTATAGTTTGAAGTCAGGTAGCATGATGCCTCCAGCTTTGTTCTTTTTGCTTAAGATTGTCTTGGCTATATGGGCTCCTTTTTTGTTCCATATGAATTTTAAAGTAGTTTTTTTCTAATTCTGTGAAGAAAGTCAATGGTAGCTTGATGGGAATAGTATTGAATCTATAAATTACTTTGGGCAGTGTGGTCATTTTCACGATATTGATTCTTCCTATTCATGAGCATGGAATATTTGTTTGTGTCCTCTCTTATTTCCTTGAACAGTGGTTTGTGGTTCTCCTTGAAGAGGTCCCTCACATCCCTTGTAAGTTGTATTCCTAGGTATTTTATTGTCTTTGTAGCAGTTGTGAATGGGAGTTTGCTCTTGATTTGGTGCTCTGTTTGTCTATTATTGGTATGTAGCAATGCTTGTGATTTTTGCACATTGATTCTGTATCCTGAGACTTTGCTGAAATTGCTTATAAGCTTAAGGAATTTTTGGGCTGAGAAGGTAGGGTTTTCTAAATATACAATCCTGTCATCTGCAAACAGATAACTTGACTTCTTCTCTTCGTGTTTGAATATGCTTTATTTCTTTCTCTTGCCTGATTGCCCTGGCCAGAATTTCCAATGCTATGTTGAATAGGAGTGGTGAGAGGGGGCGTCCTTGGCTTGTGCTGGTTTTCCAAGTGAATGCTTCCAGCTTTTGCTGATTCAGTATGATATTGGCTGTGAGTTTGTCATAAATAGCTCTTATTATTTTGAGATATGGTCCATCAGTACCTAGTTTATTGAGTGTATTTACCATGAAGAGGTGTTGAATTTTATCAAAGACCTTTTCTGCATCTATTGAGATAATTATGTGGTTTTTATCATTGGTTCTGTTTAAGTGATGAATTACATTTATCGATTTGCATATGTTGAACAAGTCTTGCATCCCCGCGGTGAAGATGACTAGATCATGGTGAATAATCTTTTTGATGTGCTCCTGGATTCAGCTTGCCAGTATTTTATTGAGGATTTTTTCATCGATGTTCATCAGGGATATTGGCCTGAAATTTTCTTTTTTGTGTGTGTCTCGGCCAGGTTTTGCTATCAGGATGATGCTGCCTTCATAAAATGAGTTAGGGAGGAGTCCCTCTTTTTCTAACATTTGGAATAGTTTCAGAAGGAATAGTACCAACTCTTCTTTGTACCTCTGGTAGAATTCGGCTGTGGATTCATCTGGTCCTGTGCTTTTATGTTTGGTAGACTATTAATTACTGCCTCAATTTCAGAATTTGTTACTGGGCTATTCAGGGATTTGACTTCTTGGTTTAGTCTTGGGAGGGTGTATGTGTCCAGGAATTTATCCGTTTCTTCTAGATATTCTAGTTTATCTGCACAGAAGTGTTTATAGTATTCCCTGATGGTAGTTTGTATTTCTGTGGGATCACTGGTGATCTCCCATTTATCATTTTTTATTGTGTCTATTTGATTCTTCTCTCTTTTCTTCTTCATTATCTGGCTAGCGGTCTATTTTGTTAATCTTTTCAAAAAACCGGCTTGTGGATTCATTAATTTTTTGAAGGGTTTTTTGTGTCTCTATCTCCTTCAGTTCTGCTCTGATAGTTATTTCTTGTCTTCTGCTAGCATTTGAATTTGTTTGCTCTTGCTTCTCTAGCTCTTTGCATTGTGATGTTAGTGTGCTGGTTTTAGATCTTTCTGGCTTTCTGCTGTGGGCATTTAGTGCTATAAATTTCCCTCTAAACACTGCTTTAGTTGTGTTCCAGAGATTCTGATACGTTGTGTCTTTGTTCTCTTTGGTTTCAAATAAATTATTTATTTCTGCCCTTATTTTGCTATTTACCCAGTAGTCATTGAGGAGCAGGCTGTTCAGTTTCTATGTAGTTGTTTGGTTTTGAGTGAGCTTCTTAATCCTGAGTTCTAATTTGATTGCACTGTGGTCTGAGACACAGTTTGTTATGATTTCCATTCTTTTGCATTTGCTGAGGAGTGTTTTGTTTCCAATTATGTCATCAATTTTAGAATAAGTGCTATGTGGTGTTGAAAAGAATGTATATTCTGTTGATTTGGGGTGGAGAGTTCTGTAGATCTCCATTAGTTTCACTTGGTCCAGAGCTGCGTTCAAGTCCTGATATCCTTGTTAATTTTCTGTCTCATTGATTTGTCTAATACTGCCAGTGGGGTATTAAAGTCTCCCACTATTGGCCAGGCGCAGTGGCTTATGCCTGTAATCCCAGCACTTTGGGAGGCCGAGGCGCGTGGATCACCTGAGGTCAGGAGTTTGAGACCAGCCTGGCCAACATGGTGAAACCCCATCTCTACTAAAAATACAAAATTAGCTGGGCATGGTGGCACGCACCTGTAGTCCCAGCTACTCAGGAGGCTGAGCCAGGAGAATCACTTGAACCAGAGGCAGAGGTTGCAGTGAGCCAAGATCACGCCACTGCACTCCAGCCTGGGCGACAGAGTGAGACTCGATCTCAAAAAATAAATAAATAAATAAATAAGTCTTCCACTATTATTGTGTGGGAGTCTAAGTCTCTTTGTAGGTCTCTAAGAACTTGCTTTATGAATCTGGGTGTTCCTGTATTGGGTCCATATATATTTAAGATAGTTAGCTCTTATTGTTGCATTGATCCCTTTACCATTATGTAATGCCCTTCTTTGTCTTTCTTTATCTTAGTTGGTTTAAAGTCTGTTTTATCAGAGACTAAGATTGCAATCCCTGCTTTGTTGTTGTTGTTGTTGTTGTTGCTTTTGATTTGCTTGTTAAATCTTCCTCCATCCCTTTATTTTGAGCCTATGTGTGTCTTTACACAGAGATACATCTACTGAATACAACAAACCAATGGGTCCTGACTCCTTATCCAATTTGCCAGTATGTGCCTTTTAATTGGGGCATTCAGCCCATTTATATTTAAGGTTAATATTGTTATGTGTGAATTTCATCCTGTCATTATGATGCTAACTGGTTATTTTGCCCATTAGTTGATGCAGTTTCTTCATAGTGTCAATGGTCTTCACATTTTGGTTTGTTTTTGCAGTGGCTGGTACAGGTTTTTCCTTTCCATATTTAGTGCTTCCTTCAGGAGCTCTTGTAAGACAGGCCTGGTGGTGACAAAACCCCTCAGCATTTGCTTGTCTATAAAGGATTTTATTTCTCCTTCACTTATGAAGCTTAATTTGGCTGGATATGAAATTCTGGGTTGAAAATTCTTTTCTTTAAGAATGTTGCATATTGGCCCTTACTCTCTTCTGGCTTGTAGGCTTTCTGAAGAGAGATCTGCTGTTAGTTTAACGGGCTTCCCTTTCTGGATAATCCAACCTTTCTCTCTGGCTGCCGTTAGCATTTTTTCCTTCATTTCAACCGTGGTGAATCTGATGATTATGTGTCTTAGGGTTGCTCTTCTCGAGGAGTAACTTGTGGTGTTCTCTGTATTTCCTGAATTTGAATGTTGGCCTGTCTTGCTAAGTTGGGGAAGTTCTCCTGGATAATATCCTGAAGTGTGTTTTACAACTTGGTTCCATTCTTCTGGTCACTTTCAGGTACACCAATCAAACGTAGGTTTGGTCTTTTCACATAGTCCCATATTTCTTGGAGGCTTTGCTCATTCCTCATCATTCTTTTTTCTCTAATCTTGTCTTCATGCTTTATTTTATCAAGTTGATCTTCAATCTCTGATATCCTTTCTTCCGTTTGATCGATTTGGCTATTGATACTTGTGTATGCTTCACAAAGCTCTCGTGCTGTGTTTTTCAGCTCCATCAGGTCATTTATATTCTTCTCTAAACTGCTTATTCTAGTTAGAAATTCCTCTAACCTTTTATCAAGGTTCTTAGCTTCCTTCCATTGGGTTAGAACATGTTCCTTTAGCTCAGAGGAATTTGTTATTACCCACCTTCTGAAGCCTGTTCTATCAACCTGTCAAATTCATTCTCCATCCAACTCCTTGCTGGCAAGGAGTTGTGATCCTTTGGAGGAGAAGAGGCATTCTGGTTTTTGGAATTTTCAAACTTTTTGTGCTGGTTTTTCCTCATCTTTGTGCATTATTTACCTTTGGTCTTTGCTGTTGGTGACTTTTGGATGGAGATTTTGTGTGGTCATCCTTTTTGTTAATGTTGACACTATTGCTTTCTGTTTGTTGGTTTTCCTTCTAACAGTCATGTCCTTCTTCTGCAGGTCTTCTGGAGTTTGCTGGGGGATCCAGACCCTGTTTGCCTAGGTATCACCAGGGGAGGCTGCAGAACAGCAAAGATTGCTGCCTTCTCCTTCCTCTGGAAGCTTCATCCCAGAGGGGCACCCACCAGATGTCAGCTGGAGCTCTCCTGTATGAGGTGTCTGTCAACCACTGCTGGGAGATGTCTCCCCACCAGGAGGCATGGGGGTCAGAGACCCACTTGAGGAGGCAGTCTGTCCCTTAGCACAGTTTGAGCACTGTGCTGGGAGATCTGCTGCTCTCTTCAGAGCCAGCAGGCAGAAATGTTTTTAAGTCTGCTGAAGCTGTGCCCACAGCCTCCCCTTCCCCCAGATGCTCTGTCCCAGGGAGATGGGATTTTTCATCTATAAGCCCCCGACTGGGGCTGCATCATCTTTCAGAGATGTCCTGCCCAGAGAGGAGGAATCTAGAGAGGCAGTCTGGCTACAGTGGCTTTGTGGCGTTCCAGTGGGCTCCAGCCTGTCCAAACTTTCCAGTGGCTTTGTTTACACTGTGAGGGGAAAACCTCCTACTCAAGCCTCAGTAATGGTGGATGCCCCTCCCCCCACCAAGCTCTAGCATCCCAGGTCAACTTCAGACTTCTGTGCTAGTGGCAACAATTTCAAGCCAGTGGATCTTAGCTTGCTGGTCTCCTTGGGGGTGGGATCCCCTGAGAAAGACCACTTGGTTCCCTGGTTTCAGCCCCCTTTCCAGAGGAGAGAACGGTTCTGTCTCACTGGCATTCCAGGCCCCACTGGGTACGAAAAAAACTCCTGCAGCTAACTCAGTGTCTGCCCAAATGACCACCAAGTATTTGCTTGAAACCCAGGGCCCTTGTAGTGTAGGCACCCGAGGGAATCTCCTGGTCTGTGTATTGTGAAGACTTAGGAAAAGCACATCATCTGAGCTGGATAACACTGTCCCTCACAGCATTGTCCCTCGTGGCTTTCCTTGGCTAGGGGAGGGAGTTTCCTGACCCCTTGAGCTTCCTGGGTGAAACAACACCCCACGCTGCTTCTGCTCACCCTCAGTGGGCTGCACCCACTGTCTAACCAGTCCCAATGAGATGAACTAGGTACCTCAGCTGGAAATGGAGAAGTCACCCATCTTCTGAGATGGTCTCACTGGGAGCTGCAGACCAGAGCTATTCCTATTCAGCCGTCTTGCCTGGGAGTCCCTCTTCTCTATTTTTTAATCTCAACAAATTCAGAGTGAAAACTATAGACTTGAGAAGAGCAAGTAGAGCAGGAGAAGGAATGTCAAACCACCAAATATAATTCTACAAAGCATTGGTCTTTTTATCTGTGTTCATAGCCCCTGGCTCATTTCTTTAGCCACTACAGTAAAAACCACCTAGTTAAAATTGCAGCCCCCACTGACACACTCCGTATGCCTTCCCTGATTTGTTTTTCTCCATAGCACTAACTGTCAGGTGCCATATTACATATTTATTTCTATAGCTTGCTTATTTTTATCCACCCTAATAAAATGTAAGTTCCATGAGAACATGGATTTTTATCTGTTTTATTCACTAGCACATTTCTACTCCCTAGAACAGAGCCAGGCCCATGTTAAGTTCCAAAAATATATATTTACTAAATTATTGCTGTTAATTGTGGTCTTGAGGTAACCCTCAGAACATAACATTATTGCTTTGAAAAAATGTGCTACAAAATCCGAAGGATCTACTTTAAAAATTAACTCTGAGAACACAGACTACTCAGAAATAGAAGTTTACCTTTTTACTTAGGTTTGCAGTATCTAATTTTTGTAATCCAACAGTATGAAAATATTCCATAAATTAATGTTAAATAGTATAAAATACATAATTTTTTGGGGGGTTCTCAATTTTGGCTTTGGTCAGGCCAAACTATTAATAACTTGGTAGGAAAAATTCTTGACTGCCTGCTAATGAAAATTTTCTGTACTTAAATGATTTAAGTGAACACAATCTAGTGACCTTCTTCCACACCATGTTTTTAGCTCTAGTGTTTTCTCTACTGTTCCTTTTCTTTTTTTTTTTTCAGTAATCATTTATAAGTGATAAGAACTTCTAAGGCACTTGAACAAATAGATAAGTCAGATAGGTCAACGCAATAAATATATATCACTTTGAACAAGTATAACAAAATAAACATTGACAGAACAATTTGGACACTTAGCTGGATCCTAGAAGTAACTGAAATCTACATCTTGTGACTGTTCTATGTCCTCATCTCCAACAAATAATCTATTGATCTTAAGACCTTTTAAACTCATGTGTATATTACCTCACAGTTTGCAAAACTCATTCATATGCATTGTCTTAATCTCCACAGTAGCAATGAAGTATTTTATTAGTTAGCTACTGCTGCATAACAAACTAGCAGAAAACCTCAATGGCATAAAACAGTAATCACCTATCTTTCGTTACAAATTGATATCATTGGCTGCACAGTTCAGCTGAGCTCAACAGGGTTTATTCACACATCTTTGATCAGTTTCAGGTCATCTAGGTAGTTTTGATTACCTTAACAGGACTCTCTCACATGTCTTGGGCATTAACTGGACAACATGGGCTATCTTGACTCTGTTCCACATGGCCCCTCCCCTTGTTTGGGAATTTCTTATGATAAAGGCAGAGGAGGAAAGGAATGAGCAGGTATACTTTTTCATGTGTCAGACTGCATCAAATTTGCTACTGTCCCACTTGCCAAAGCAAATAACATGGCCAACCCAGAGTTACAGTACACAGAAAAAGATGTTGCTATAGAAACACCATTAATTATGGTCATTGATACAATCAATCTACCACAGTTTGTGCTATTAGTTTTGTTATTTTTACAGATGAGAAAATCAAGACTTGAGGTTAAATAAGTTCCCCAGAGTGAATCAGCCAAGTGAGTGCACCAGAAGCTCAGATATTCTGACTCTAAACATGTTCTTTCCTCCAACCGTGTCTGGCATGTTCATTCATATTCACAGATGCTGAGTTTATTGTTTCTAAAAAACAGAACCATTTCATATTACTATGATACCTCAGAAATTCCAAAAACAACAGTTGGAATGCCAATCAGATTACTTATCCTTTTTGTAAACTGGATAAATGCAAATCTTATTAGTTCATGCTGCTCTTTATTATTGAATGCTTTGGAACCTTTGGGTGTGCCTTGCTTGTCCCTCCAGCTAAATTTTCATCTCCTCCAAGGCAGAAACCTCAAGTTCTTTGTCTTTGTATTTTTCCCACTGCCTAACATAATGCTATTCAAGTAGTAGATGTGCCACTTGGTTGATAAAACTGAAAGAACAAAATGTCACCTTGATACAGTTCCCTGTTAGAGAAGCAAAAATTAAAAGGAAACAGCTAATTGATACTGGAATGAGTAAAGGATAAGGGAGAGTTCCAACTGTGCCTATATCAGAAAAGAAAAAAAGAATACATTTATGTTTTATTTTCAAAATCTTCATGCCAGCTAACATATACGAATATTTCCCTTACATTTATTTGTTCTGACTCAGAGTTGAAAATCAGCTGTGGTGAACTGCCAAGTGCTAATCAGTGAACTAATTGTTTTATTCATTGTAATAACCATTATAAATGTTGGGTTTAATGAGGTACTCACTTTTCCATTACAAAAATTGAATCCAGATTTTTTTTTTACTGCACTTTGAATGATAGCTGGGTTAATGTCATTCTCTATAAAGCATTTTTATTCAATAACTTCATCATACGTGGAGGAGGTAAAGCTTTAAAGATACGTAAAATTTTGTCAAACATTTTTATTTCTGGGTAAGTCAGTTTGCCCCTTTATCATGTTTGAGTCACCCTCAGAAAATGGAAAAAGAGAACAAGAAGCTAACGTAATAAATTTCTGTTAAAATTCTGAATGTCATTCTCTTTTAGCAGTGTAAGTATTAAAGGAAAATACCAGATAATACACGTATAGGCAAAGAAAAACTATAGTGGTAAAAGAGGTAGTCATCAATTCCTAAGTTTCAATTGAAACAAATTATTTAATATTGATTTTTAGATCTTCAGTTGGGGACAACTCAAAGTTAAGACAAAGTTTATTGGTACCTCCAAATCCTTAAAAAGGGAACTTGTCTTCCTCATAAATAAGCATCTTAGAAGGATCCAATTCATAGCCAAAGCTAACTTCTCTATTAAAAAACAATTAAGTGGCTATACAGGTGAAGAATGCTTCAAATTACCTAAAATAGTTGTATAATTTCTGAAACATATTGCAATAATGTCTGTAGATAATACTATTTCCCTCTGACTCAAAATGACATTGGCTGAATTGTTGCAGATACAGAAACACTGATTGATAGTGACAGGCAAACCAAACTGCTATACAAAATATGAGCAAAGGGTTGCTTCAATAGTAGATTATTTTTCAACAATAGGACAATGTATACACTATAATTTTGAGTTCAGTGTTAGCCTCAATCAATGCAAGTGTCTGAAAACAAAGAGCATAACCACTAAGAATAATCTTTCCAAAGTGCAGATTGAAAAATAACAGACTTCCTCTCTTCAACAGCAAGAATCAAATGAAATGCATAAGCAAATAGTCTCATTATGGAATAATAGTGGCAACAGCATAGTGCTAGGATGTTTTTCTTTGAGACTTCATAAGTTGTAACAACAAGGATTTGTGTATATAAAAATTAGAAAAGGCATAAGAAAATGCCTTTTCTTATGGCATTTTAGGGAGAAAAGGAAATGTGTATACACTGCTGGTGGGAATGTAAATTAGTTCAGCCACTGTGGAAGGCAGTTTGGTAAATTCTCAAATAACTTAGAACTATCATTTGACCCAGCAATTCCATTACTAGGTATATACCCAAAGGAATATAAATTGTCCTATGACAAAGATATGCACACATATGTTTATTACAGTGCTATTTACAATAGCAAAGATATGGAATCAACCTAGATGCCCAAGAACAGTGGACTAGAAAAATAAAATGTAGTACATATGCACCATGACATACTATGCAGCCATGAAAAATAACAAAATCATGTCCTTTACAACAACATTGATGGAACTGGAGGCCATTATCCTAAGCAAACTAATGCAAAAACAGAAAACCAAATACCGCATGTTCTCACTTATAAGTGGGAGTTAAACAATTGAGTACACATGGACACAAAGAAGGGAACAATAGACATCAGGGCCTACTTGACATCCAAAAAAATATCCATTAGTCACTATGCTCATTACCTGGGTGACGAAATAATCTGTCACTAAACTCCCATGACACACAAGTTACCTATGTAACAAACCGCACATGTACCCCTGCTAACCTAAAATAAAAGTTGGAAACAAAAGCAGATAGACAAACAAACAATGCCCCTCCCAACTCCTTTCAAAACCTTTTGCTCTTTCTGCAGCTCAAAAAGTGAGCACCTATTAGAAGTACCTCTTAACACTTATTAAATACTGAGCTTTCTGCAGATAAGCAGTGACTTAGGAAGTAATGAAGCCAAAGCCAGATCTATTTTAATATTTATTCTAGCCTGAAATAAATGTTTATGTCCTTGAAACAGATAAGAATTTGGTGGGATAATAATTACAACCAGCGTGATTTAATAAACTGTTTTAAGACCAGAAGACAAAAGAAATGAGTGTCATGGGGATTTAGGGTACAGATTATTTTGTCACCCAGGTAAATGTGTTGAAAAGAACAAAAAACAGAAAGAGCAGGAAATTTCAAACTTGGCACATTGGCTCATGGATATGAAAAGATGTTTTCTTGCATTGAAGCTCCAGGAGCTAAAGTTGTTTCAATTATTCTATTCAAAACAAGTCACCACACCTGAAGTCCAGTTACAGAAGTAGGGAAAAAAGGAAAGAACAAGAGTACATAAAAAAGAACATCTATTATTGCCAATGTTTTAGTCCATTCTCTTGCTCCTATAAAGAAATAACTAAGACTGGATAATTTATAAAGAAAACAGGTTTAGTTGGCTCACAATTCTGCAGGCTGTACAGGAAGCAAAGCAGCTTCTGCTACTGGGAATGTCTCAGGAGACTTACACTCATGGTGGAAGATGAAGGGAAAGCAGGCATCTTACATGGCTGGAGAAGAAGGAAGAGAGAGGGAGGAGAAGCTACACACTTTTAAAACAACCAGATCTCATGATAACTCACCTACTCACTATCATGAGAAAGGCACCGAGGGGATGGTGCTAAACCATTCATGAGAACCCCATCCCCATGATCCAGTCACCTCCTATCAGGACCTACCTCCACCACTGGGGATTACAACTCAACATGAGATTTGGGTGGGAACACAGATCCAAACCATGTCAGCCTACATCTAAAGAAATAAGATACCAATTACATTAGGGTTATCCAGGAAAACAGAAGCAATAAGCTATTTTATTATGGGAATTGGCTCACATGATTACAAAAGCTGAGAGTCTCACAATATGCTATCTACCAGTTGGAGAACCAGGGAAGCCAATGGTGTAATTCAGTCTGAGGCTGAAGGCTTGAGAAACTGTGAGGCCACTGGAATAAGTCTGGGAATCCAAAAGCCTGAGAATGTATTAATCAGGGTTCTCTTAGAGGGTCAGAACTAATAGGAGATATATATATGTGTGTGTGTGTGTGTGTGTATAAGTGTATATATATACACATATATACACGTATATATATACGCACATATATACACACACACACAGAAAGTATTAACTTACATGATCTCAAGGTCCCACAATAGGCTGTCTGCAGGCTGAGGTGCAAGGAGAGCCAGTCCAAGACCCAAAACTGAAGAACTTGGAATCTGATGTTTGAGGGCAGGAAGCATCCAGCATGGGAGAAAGATGTAGGCTGGGAGGCTAGGCCCGTCTTCTCACTTCACATTTTTCTGCCTGCTTTATATTTGCTGGTGGCTGATTAGATGGTGCCCACCCAATTAAGAGTGGGTCTGCCTCGCCCAGCCCACTGACTCAAATGTTAATCTCCTTTGGCAACAACCTCACAGACACACCCAGGATCAATACTGCATCCTCCAATCCAATCAAATCGACACTCATTATTAACCATCACAGTGGAGTTCTGATGTCCATGGGCAGGAGAAGGTGATGTATGTTCCAGCTCCATAAGATAAAGGAAATTTACCCTTCCTCCTGCTCTTTGTTCTATCCAGGCCCTCAACAGATTGCATAATGCCCGCATTGGTGAGGGCTCATCTTTTTAATTTTAATTTTTTTTTTATTTTTTTAATTAAAAAAACATTTTTTGAGACAAAGTCTCACTTTGTTGCCCAGGCTGGAGTGCAGTGGCATAATCTCATCTCACTGCAACCTCTGCCTCCCGGATTCAAGCAATTTTCCTGCCTCAGCCTCCCGAGTAGCTGGGACTACCAGCATGTGCCACCATGCCCAGCTGATTTTTATATTTTTAGTTGAGATAGGGTTTCACCATGTTGTCCAGGCTGGTCTTAAACTTCTGACCTCAGGTGATCTATCCACCTTGGCCTCCCAAAGTTCTGGGATTATGGGCATGAACCACCATGCCCGGCCTATTTTGAATTATTATGGATACTGTATTAGTCCATTTTTTATGCTGCTGATAAAGACATACCCAAGACTGGGAAGAAAAGGAGGTTTAATTTGACTTACAGTTCCACATGGATAGGGAGGTCTCATAATCATGGCGGAGGGCAAAAGGCACTTCTTTTATGGTGGCAGCGAAAGAGAATGAGGAGGAAGCAAATGCAGAAACCCTTGATAAACCCATCAGATCTCATGAGACTTGTTCACTATCATGAGAATAGCACAGGAAAGACCGGCCCCCATGATTCAATTACCTTCTCCTGGGTCCCTCCCACAACACGTGGGAATCCTGGGAAATACAATTCAAGTTAAGATTTGGGTGAGGGCATTCAACCCCTTGCCCCTCCAAATCTCATGTTTTCACATTTAAAAACCAATCATGCCTTCCCAACAGTCCCCCAAAGTCTTAACTGATTTCAGCATTAACTCAGAAGTCCACAGTCCAAAGTTTCATCTGAGACAAGGCAAATCCCTTCCACCTATGAGCCTGGTAAATCAAAAGCAAGCTAGTTACTTTCTAGACACAAGGAGGGGACAGGTATTGGATAAACACAGCTGTTCCAAATGGGAGAAATTATCCGAAACAAAGGGGTTACAGGGCCTATGCAAGTCCAAAATCCAGCAGGGCAGTCAAATTTTAAAGCTCCAAAATGATCTCCTTTGACTCCAGATCTCACATCCAGGTCACGCTGATGCAAGCGGTGGGTTCCCATGGCCTTGGGCAGCTCCACCCCTGTGGCTTTGCAGGGTACAGTCTCCCTCCTAGCTGCTTTCACAGCCTGGCGTTGAGTGTCCACAGCTTTTCCAGGCACACAGTGCAAGTCTGTAGGAGGATCTATCACTCTGGGGTCTGGAGGATGGTGTCTCTCTCCTCACAGCTCCACTAGGCAATGCCCCAGTAGGGACTCTGTGTGGGGGCTCTAACCCCACATTTCCCTTCCCCACTGCCCTAGCAGAAGTTCTCCATGAGGGCCCCTCTCCTGCCACAAACTTTTGCCTGGGCATCCAGGCATTTCCATACATCTTCTGAAATCTAGGCGGAGGTTCCCAAACCCCAATTCTTGACTTCTGTGCACCTGCAGGCTCAACACCACATGGAAGCTGTCAAGGATTGGGGCTTACACCCTGTGAAGCCACAGTCCCGGCTGTATGTTGGCCCCTTTCAATCACTGCTGGAGCTGCTGGAGCACAGGGCACCGAGTTCCTAGGCTCCACACAGCATGGGAACCCTGGGCTCGGCCCATGAAACCACTTTTTCTGCCTGGGCCTGCAGGCCTGTGATGGGAGGGGCTGCCATGAAGGTCTCTGACATGGCCTGGAGACATTTTCCCCATGGTCTTGGGGATTAAACATTAGGCTCCTTGCTACTTATGCAAATTTCTGCAGCTGGCTTGAATTTCTCCCCAGAAAATGGGTTTTTCTTTTCTACTGCATCATCAGGCTGCAAATTTTCTGAACTTTTATCCTCTGTTTCCCTTTTAAAACAGAATGCTTTTAACAGCACCTAAGTCACATTTTTAATGCTTTGCTACTTAAAAATTACTTCTAACAGATACCCTAAATCATCTCTCTCAGGTTCAAAGTTCCATAAATCTCTAGGGCAGGGGCCAAATGATGCCAGTGTCTTTGCTAAAATATAACAAGAGTCACCTTTGTGCCAGTTCCCAACAAGCTCCTCATCTCCATCTGAGACCAACTCAGCCTAGACCTTATTGTCCATATTGCTATCAGGCTTTTAGGCAAAGCCATTCAACAAGTCTCCAGAGAGTTCCAAACTTTCTCACATTGTCCTGTCTTTTTCTGAGCCCTCCAAACTGTTCCAACATCTGCCTGTTTCCCGGTTCCAAAGTCACTTCCACATTTTCACGTATCTTTTCAGCAATGTACCACACTACTTCTGGTACCACTTTACTATATTAGCCTGTTTTTCTGCTGCTGATAAAGACCTACCGAAGACTGAGAAGAAAAGGAGGTTTAATTGGACTTACAGTTCCACATGGCTGGGGAGGTCTCATAATCATGGTGGAGGGTGAAAGGCATGTCTTACATGGTGGCAGCAAGAGAGAACGAGGAGAAAGCAAGTCCAGAAAACCCTGATAAACCCATCAGATCTCCTGAGACTTATTCACTACCACGAGAATAGCATGGGAAAGACCAGCCCCCATGATTCAATTATCTCCCCCAGGGTCTCTTCCACAACATGTGGGAATTCAGGGAGATATAATTCAAGTTAATATTTGGGTGGGGGCACAGCCAAACCATTTCAGATACATAATACTTGTACACATTTATAGGGTACATGTGATGTTTCAATACAGACATACAGTGTGTAGTGATCAAGTTAGGGTAATTGGGGTATCCATCACCTCAACATTTATCATATCTTTGTGTTAGGAACATGTCAATTCCCATCTTTTAGTTACTTTAAAATATACAATAGATTAGTATTAACTATAGTCTTCCTGTTGTGCTACTGAATACTATATCTTATTCATTCTAATTGTATTTTTGTACCCATTCACCATCCTCACATTATAATCTCCACTTTATCCCTCCTCCTCCCCCCCCACCCCCACGTTACTCTCCCTGCCTCCGGTAACCATCATTTTACTCTTTATCTCCATGATTCGATATTTTTTAACTCCCACATATGAGTAAGAACATCTGGTATTTGTCTTTCTGGCCTGGCTTGTTTTACTTAACATATGTCCTTCACTTTATCCATTTTGTTGTACATTACAGGATTTCATTCTTTTTATGCCTAAATAATATTTTATTGTGTATATGTGCCACATTTTCTTTATCTGTTTGTCCTTTGATGGACATTTAGGTTGATTCTATATCTTGGTTATTGTTAGTAGTGCCGTAATAAACATAGGAATACATATATCTCTTTGATATACTATTTTTTCTCTTTTTTGGATATATATGACCAGCAGGGGGATTGCTGGATCATATGGTAGTTCTAGTTTTAGTTTTTTGAGGAACCTCTCTGCTGTTCTCTGTAGTGACTGTACTAATTTTCATTTTTATCAACAGTGTATGAGTGTTCCCCTTTCCCTACATGCTCGTCAGCATTTATTATTGCCTGTCTTTTGGATAAAGTCATTTCAATTGGGGTGAGATGATATCTCATTGAAATTTCTATTTGTATTTCTCTGACGATAGTGATGTTGAGCATTTTTTATTCACTTGTTGTCCATTTGTATGTCTTCTTTTCAGAAATATCTATTCAGGTATTTTGCCAATTTTTAAATAAGATTATTTGTTTTTCTTGTTTGCAAATATTTTCTTTCATTCAGTGAGTTGCCTCTTCACTTGTTTTTTTTTTTTTTTTTTTTTCTGTCCAAAAGCTTTTTTAGCTTCATGTGATCCCATTTGTCCATTTTTGTTTTGGTTGCCTATGCTTTTGGTTTCTTACTCAAAAACTCTTTGCCCAGATTTATGTCCTGGAGAGTTTCCATTATTATTTTCTTGTAGGAGTTTCATAGTTTCAGTTCTTAGATTTAAGTCTTTAATCCATTTTGAATTGAATTTTTTATATAGAGAGAGACAGGGTTCTAGTTTCATTCCTTTGCATACAGTAAAAGAAATGTTTAAAGACACATAAAAGGATCCACCTTCCTTACTCAGTCTACTAACTCAGTGCCAGTGTCTTCTGGAAAACCCTCACAAACGTACCAGCTATCTGATACATATAATGTTTTACCAGCTCTCTGGGTCTCCCTTAATGCAATCAGGTGGACACCTAAAATTAACCATCGCAGCAATTGTTCTGCAATAAAATTTATTTGATTACATTGAAAAATAATGGCTTCTATCCTTACATTTTGTTGTCATTATTGCTATTTTTGTTGTTAAGAGGAGAATTGGCCAAAAAATTATTATAATTGGTGACAGGGAGGTAGGGATGCTGTTAGTAGCCCAACACGTAGGAGTAAGACATCAGGTGCTCCCCTAGGCCACCAGATACCACCTCTGGATAAAGGACTATGCCTGTGGGAACTGTTAAGGTTATAAGAAACATTATGTATTCTTCATACATGCTACTTTTTTTATTTTACCTTTTCCTCTATGATCAGCAGCTAAGATATTAAAACCATAAAGTACTGGTTGTCATCTTCAACTAGCTAGGGAAGGCTAGGGAGACTGTTCTACTTCATAGCCAATTCCTAGGGAAGCAGATATCCAATGGTTAGGATGGATGATAGGAGATAAGGGTCTCAATCTAAAAAGTAGACTTAGATGGAAAAAAGTTGGGGGTGGGGCATGCAGGGGAGTCCTGGTAGCCTAAAAATGGGCATAGACATTTTAGAAATTGATTTGAAATGAATCCAGAAAATCAGTTTGCTAGAAAAGTGAAGTAGTTGTTTTCCGCCAAGGTTTACAACTTGATCACTGGCATGCATCTGCTTTAAAATTCTTCTATTGCCGTGTTCTCTCCAAAGACTCTCCATTGTGTCACACCTCTAGCAACACACTGCTGAAAGTCAACTCTGAATTCACCTCAAATGAAAATGTTCACAGTTTAAATTTGCAAAGCAGTAATACTAATTTATCGTAGGGGACTAACTACCTAGGGAGAAGCAATAAGATACTTTTAATTTTTAAATGTCTAAAATCTATACAGCAAATCTGGCATATTTGTGTGTGTGTATACAAAACACATATATATACATGGACATACACACACACATATAACTGTGCACACACACACATGCTAGAAAATTTCAAAGAACTTACAGAATCAAAAGGTTTGAGGTATTTTTCTATTTCCTGTAGATACGATTAAATCCAAACCACTTACTTTTTTGCCTGTAGGTAAAACTGGAAATAAATAATCCAGAAGCTCCATTTCAAATGGGTTTCAGGGGAATAAATAGTTTAATCCTGACCTAAATAAACATGGCACTAGCCTCAAATGTTTGAAAAGTAATACTGTCCAGGAATATTGCCTAGAAGCCAGGCATTGCTGACTCTGAATAAGAGTAGCCTATTGGATGTAGTTGACAAGCACAACTCAAGTTATGAAGAAAAGGAAAAATTACAATTGTGAAAATAGAGCACAACAGAATGTGAAATTCTCTAAGATTTTATTTCCTGAGGGAAGTGAACCAATAAACTTCTTATTAAGATTCCTTTGGTATTAGGAATCACAAGATGAGTACAACATAAACTAGATAACTAACACTAAACAAATTTACATTTGATATTTAAAACTCTCTTCCGTTCTTATTTTTATGAGCAAGTAAGAAAAATGAATGGTAAACACCAAAAACTTTATATTCTTAATAATACTCCATCTTCTTTAACTATATCATTCTTTAATATTCTTGCTAAATGAATTGTTTAAGTCTTTAAACAATTGTACAGTATGTGCCCTGCATAAATGCACCTGGCCAAGGAGGTGCAAATATAAACAAATCTATCCCTTATTCCTTTTCAAGTCACGTGCTCTCAGGAGGAGCTGCCTCTGCCAGGAAGGAGGGGAGTCTTTCTAATTCACCTGTAGACATCAGACCTGCACCAGTCACTCACAATGATAACTAAATCTCCTCTCTCTTTCTTCCCTCTCCTTTTCACCTGTCCACCTCCAAAATCCTCTTCTATTCCAAGGCAAACTCTGAGTTGTCGACCTATCTCTTTGGATCATGCTGACCCATTTCCTCAGGGTCTGACTTTACCCAGAAGTTTCTTATTTTGGTGTTGACCATTTTAATGACATATTTTAACCCCACTATTTTTGCATCTGCCTAGCCAGCTGCTTTTGCCACAGCTCTTGCAGCAGTAGGGCACAGTCCTGCTTGCAGTGAAGGGCAATACAGGCAGCAGGCAGAAGACTGCATCTTGAGGGCAGGAACCAGTGCCAGTGCCATCAGATGGGGTCAGCTGCAGTGCCCAGATTGATGGGCATCTCCAAAAATGCAACACTTCCTTCATGGGCATCAGAGCCCTTGGGAGTGCAAAACTTCCAGAGACATCTGGAAATAGTAGCACAGATATTTAACATAAATAAGAATGGAAAACTCACCATAGTGAGTAAAGGTAAATCTAAAAATATAGATGTGACCACATTTGGGAACCTAGTTTGACCCATAAACTGGTTTGACCTACAAAATATAAATTATGTTTTTGTATGAAGGTTATATAAAGTATATAGTGAAATATCTTAAAATATTGAGCTAAAAACCATTTATTTAGGCAACAACTTGCACAGCTGTGACCAGTGAAGAAATCACATTGTGTGGGTTTATCTAGTGCTAGCATATGAATCACTGAACTGATATTTGAAATGTCTATAAAAAGTCAAAAATACGATACGAAGTTATGAAAGATAAACACAGAAGCCTACAGAAAGAGAAAGACTAGTGATAAAAATATAGTCAGTGCATAGCCAGGAGATGGAAATTGTAGGCCAATAGATTCAATAGGTAATGATCTCTGTATTCTAGTGGGTAAAACCAGTTTTGAAGTCTTAATTTAACCTATCCTTAATCCAGAGAAGGCACTCGCTAAAACTGAACATATCTATTTTCATCAGATGAGACTTCTGATTAAATGTTGTAGACTTTGTCTATTGTCTACAGGGAAAGAATATGCTGACCTGTAAAGAGTAATTATTCAGTTCTAGCTACAGATATATTTCTCATTACAAATGAGTAAATTGATATCCTAGTTTATATATTTCTTTCTTTTACAGAAATGAAGCAATTTTCTATGGCCTAATTATCTCTGATTTCTGACAAGACTAAATTTCTGGCCTTGCAAGGCTGAGGACTAAGCCTGAAGTGTGATGACTCAGTCACTGGGTTCTATCCCTAAATGGCTCCAAGATCTCTGATGGACATTGCAGCATTATAAAGCTGGGAAATTAACACATCTTGCCCTCTCAATTTCATGTGCATTTTATTTGTTTTCTTAATATTTTTAAGTTTGTGCATTTACCAAAGATGTTCATCACATTAGCAATTAAGAAGCATATGTGGTTTCTATATAGTGAAGAATTTAAGTAAAAGAATAATCTATACACATGCATAATTTAAGTTAAATTCCAAGTATTTTTATCTAAGGTTGAGGGCGATATTTAATAGTAAAAATAGGGAAGAACATGAAACCAATACCTTTTGCAAATCATATGCAAAACCTTTTCCACTACTCAATCTGGAAGTCATTCTCATTTAATCAAAAGCTATCTCAGCTTATTAAGTCCTGTTATACCACTATATATAAGACGGAAACACTTTGGATCAAAGGTAGCTGCTGCAAGAATTTTTCAAAGGTTGTATCAAAGGAAAATTAACCACCTCGATTTCTAATTTAAAAAGGTAAGGAGTTAAATAAAGAATTGATGAGGACTACCCTTAAAGCCTTATAGTTGAGAACTTACAGCTAAAGATTGGGAATTCTCTGCAATTAGTACAATATTAAAGATTTAATACTCCCTCAAGAAAAATGTGCATGCCCAGGTAGATCAGCACATCTTATGTAGAAGTTTTGAGTAAATGGGTTACCATATGTTATATATAGTAACACTTTGGTTTTCACATAGACCATTAGGCAAAAATTGGTCTGATGTTTCTTTCTAATCACGAGAAATGTACCTCCCTACCTAAAAAGAAGTTCAACTGCAAGAGCTATTAAACAGGCTTGCAGAATCATCTTCAGGTATATGTACATAGCACATTATACAACAAGGAAGGAATAAAAGTCTATCATTGCCTTCTGGCTTTGTTTCAGTAAAGGGGTCATATAACGGACCTGGGTTCTCAGCTGTGAAATGAAAAGAATCGAACCAAATGATCCAAGGTTGCTTCTAGCTCTAAGATTCTCTAGGACCCCAAAACTGGGACATTTCCAAGATTATTTGAAGAATAACCATAGGGCCTTCCAAAAAAATACTGAAAAGACATTATATAATTGTGGTAACTGAAAATTTTGTAACTGAGAATTATGAACATTCTCAATTCATAATTCACCAAATGTGATTCTGTGATAAAATTCTCCTGCCTGTAGCAATTAGAATTTTCACAGAGAAGTCAAGAATAACAGGCGGGTGGATCACTAGGTCAGGAGATCTAGACAATCCTGGCTAACACGGTGAAACCCCGTCTCTACTAAAAGTACAAAAACTTTAGCTGGGCGTGGTGGCGGGCGCCTGTAGTCCCAGCTACTCCGGAGACTGAGGCAGGAGAATAGCGTGAACCCTGGAGGCGGAGCTTGTGGTGAGCCGAGATCGCGCCACTGCACTCCAGCCTGGGCGACAGAGCGAGACTCCGTCTCAAAATAATAATAATAATAATAAATTTAAAATATTTTCATTAACGTCTTCACAAATACCCTCATTATCTCTTAGAATTTCATTTTTCAACCTAAAGGTTTTATCTGAAAGACATGGCTTTTTAATATATTTATTTCCTGTTTTTCTATGTAAATAACATGTTTCCTAAATGTAGAAAATATAGAAAAATAAAAATTATCTGCAATCTCTCAGGTGACTCTACAAAGATTAGAGATATTAACTAAGAACATCATTAAGAGTTTTTCTATGAAAATAGTATATATTTTTTATTTAAAATTGAGCATTCTGAACATCACACTCCGGGGACTGTTGTGGGGTGGGGGGAATGGGGGAGGGATAGCATTAGGAGATATACCTAATGCTAAATGACGAGTTAATGGGTGCAGTACACCAACATGGCACATGTATACATATGTAACAAATCTGCACATTGTGCACATGTACCCTAAAACTTAAAGTATAATAATAATAAAAATAAATAAAAAATAAATAAATAAAATAAAATTGAGCATTCTGTAAATATTATTTTATAACTTACTTTTTCATTTAACAGCATATCTTAAGCATTTAAATATGTTGTTAAATGCTATTATTAACATGATTTTGATCATTGTACAATACTTTATCCAATTCTTATGTTAAGACATTTAGTTTGCTTTGAGTATTTCAATATTATAAATAATGCCTCAATGAAGATTATTGTACATAAGTCCTTCATGGATTTCTTGAGATCTAAAAATATGTTCCTAGAGGAAAAATTACCCAGTCAAAAAGTGCAAAGATTGTAAGTCTCCTATGAAATATTGCAAAATTTTCTTCCAGAATGGTCATAATTGCACCCTAGCCCAAACTGGGTATTACCATTTTTCAAAGCATGCAAATTTGAAAATTTAGAACTGGTAACATGTTTCTATTTATTTCACTTTGATTACTACTGGGGTTGAACTTTTTTTCATATTTTATTGGCTAGTTTTCTTCTTGTAGATTATTTGCTCATGTACTTAACCTGTTTCTCTGTTGGGATATTCATATGCTATGTATTGATTGCTAGCACTGATTTTATATTAAGGATGTTAAACCCTTATACCATTAAATATTGCAAATAGTTACACCAGTGTGCCATGTGCACTTTAGTAAGTATTTTTTATTTTTCAGATATTTTCAGTAAAATCTCATTATTTCCTCATATGTTTTTGTCTTTGACTTGATGTTTGGAAAGTACTTTCCAACCCTAAGACCAGAAACATATTCAACATTATTTCCTTCTATTTTCCTATACCTTCATTTTTTAAATTTAACTCCACTATATTGAATTTATTCTGATATAGAATCTGAAATGAAGAGAACTAACTTCATATTAGTTCCAAAAATTTTATCAGCTATTGAAATATTTGTTTAATAATCCCACTAATTTGAAAAGCTATTGATTTGTCCTTTCATCAGATCTGCCTATTATGTTTCCTTTTCTGTCACATACAACATTTAACATTTACATATTATATGATCTATACCTAGTCTTTATTTGAATCCACTGACCTTCTGATTATCTTCAGGCCAATAATATACTTTTTAACTATTTTAACTTTATATCTCATTTTAAAAGTTCTCTGCAAATATTCTTGTTATAAGTAGTCTTTACTTATAACTTTAACTTATTTACTTTACAAATAATCGCTTGATATATTTTCTGGCTCAATACTTACTGACAATGCCTTTTTAAAATTTCCCATTTGTATGTATGGGAAATTCAAATAGTAATACATATGGTTAAAGAATATGGCCTTACAATTCCTAGTTTGAAAAATTCACTGATGCATTTTTACCCTAATTAGGGAAATTTTTGCAAATGTCTATGGGATTTGAAAAATAAAATATATCCTTTATGCACACAAAGATTGCTGGCTATCTGTTAAATTACTTCAGAAACATTTTGCTTTAAATATTTTTCAAAAAACCATTTGTCCAAGTTATTTCTTTTTCTTCAATGAATGGTTATTGAACTCTGCAAAGCACTGGGTTAAATGTGAGTGAAAAGCTATGTGGCCCCTATCTTCAAATATAAAACTTTGCTCTAATCTAACCTAATCCATTGGCTCTAATTGTTTTTAACTCTTTTTAATTCCCTTCTAGATTCAGGTAGAATTTCTCAGTTTATTCTCCTATCATTTATATAATTTTTTTCAAATTATTCATTTTGCATTTTCCTGTCAAAAATACATTGTGGTTTTAGATCACAAATAACCATTTCTTATTTCACTAATCTCTATTTTTAACTAAAATGTTCTATTTGTGACTTTCTGCCCTTTTTTGATCATATGTGTATTAATATATTATTATATTATATTTGGAATACCAATCATCTGTGTGCTACAGCACAAATTTTCAAAAGCATGCTTCTTCTCTGAGTATTTAGAATGTTTCCTTTCTTCCGATTTATTTCATTAATTTATAGACTTATTTTTTCTCTTTATTCATATTCAAAGAAAATAAGATTAGTGAATTTCAATTCATGTCATTAGAGAAAGTTTGGGTTTTGCCTTTGGCTTTGATCACTTTGTCACTTATATGACAGTCGAGTTCCATTCTTGGAACCTACAGCTGAAAGACAGACCAGCAATTTTCAACACAATTTCCAGTTTCTAGAAAATGTATGTCTATTCCACTATGCTGCACTGAGATAGAGTCTTCTTTTAAACATCCAGAAAACCCACTGATGGAACAGTAGTCAAATAATTATGATATACTTATTGAATGATATACTTATTGAATGATATACAATGTCATTTTAAGCAAGAATTAGGTAGCTCTTATGCAGAAATATGGTAAAGCCTCAAAGAATTACGTGAAGTGTAAAATTAAGCTCAGAATTATGAGTGTATTAAGTCTTCTCTGTTTTAAAGAAAGACAAATTCATATATGTACATATGCATGTATGAAATGCACAGATAAATGCCTAGAAAGATACATATTAAACACAGTCGAGTGGGATGAGATGGGTAGAAATACAGCATAGTTTTCACATCTCATTCTACACTCTTAAGTTTTGCTTTAATCTTTTATAGCATAAATGTATTTATGGGTTGCTTTTCTAAAAACTTAAATTTTAGGCTGTGTGTAGTGGCTTATACCTGTAATCCCAGCATTTTGGGAGGCCAAGGCAGGAGGACTGCTTGAGCCCAGGAGTTTGAGACCAACCTGGGCAACATAGGGAGACCCAGTCTCTACAAAAAATAGAAAGAAAAAAATAGCCAGGCATAGTGGCTTGTGCCTGTCATCTCAGCTACTTGGTGGGTCTCAGGTAGGAGGATCGCTTGAGCCCAGGAGGTCAAGGCTGCGATGGGCCATGATTACGCCACTGCACTCCAACCTGGGTGACAGAGCTGAGACTGTGTCTCAAAGATAACTAAATAAATAAAAACTTAAATTTTAAAAAAAGATTAAAGTTAAAATTGGGAGTTATAGTAGCGTGACCGTAGACATTAGATTAAGTCCTGCAGTTATAAAAAATCATGCTTATCTTAATGTAACTCAAACAGGAAACCTGAAATACAGAATACTTCTTTTTCTTCTGTATTTGGTTTTGACACACTTTCATGGAAGAAAAAGTGGGTATTCTTAAAACTATTGCTACATAAACAAGCCTATTTTGTCCTGACCTTCCGTTGCATTATTCCCATAGCACAGTAATGACAGGTGAGCAAAGAAGCATCGTCCAAAAGTTTCATAAATTAAAATGTTCCATATTGTGAATCTGGAATCTGAAATCAGCCTCTCTGAATAAACATTTAAGTGATGAATTTTTTATTGTGGTAAAAAAAATCATATAACATAAAATTTACCGTCTTAGCTATTTTTAAGTGTACAGTTTGGTAGTGTTAAATATATTTACATTGTTGTAAAACAGATCTTCAGAACGTTTTCATCTCGCAAACCTGAAGCTCCATGTCCATTACACTACAATTTCTATTTTCCTCCTCTCTCCAGCCTCTGAGAACTATTATTCTACTTTCTGTTTCTATGAATTTGACTACTTTAGACATCTCATATAAAGAGAAGCCTAAACTATTTGTCTTTTTGTGCCTGGCTTATTTCACTTAGCATAATGTCTTCAAGATTCATTGACGTTGTAGCACATGACAGGATTTCCTTCCTTTTTAATGCTGAATATTATTTCAGTGTATGTATATGCTGGATTTTGTTTATGTACTCATCCACTGATGGACATTTGGGCTGCTTATACCACTCGGCTTTTGTGAATAGGTGCTGCTATAAACATGTGGGGGCAAATATCTCTTCAAGACTCTGCTTTCGGTTCTGTGGGATATATTTCCTGAAGTTCGTTTGTTTGTTTTTGTTTTGTTTTGTTTTCTGAGACAGAGTTTCACTCTGTTGCCCAGGCTGGAGTTGCAGTGGTATGATCTTGGCTCACTGAAGCCTCTAACCGCCAGGTTCAAGGGATTCTCCTGCCTCAGCCTCCTGAGTAGCTGGGATTACAGGCATGCACCACCATGCCCAGCTAATTGTTGTATTTTTAGTAGAAACGAGGTTTCTCCATGGTGGCCAGGCTGGTCTCAAACTCCTAGGCTACAGTGATCTGCCCGCCTCAGCCTCCCAGAGTGCTGGGATTACAGGCATGGGCACTGTGGTGGCCCAGTGGTTCTATTTTTAACTTTTTAGGAAAATCCATACTGTTTTTCATAGCAGTTACACCATCTTACACTCCCTCCAGCACTGCAAAAAATTCCCAATTTTTCCACATCCTCACCAATGATTGTTATTTTCTGGGTTTTTTGTTTTTTAACAGTAGCCATTCCAATGGATGGGAAGAGATATTGTAGCTCTTCCTTGGCTCACAACACTCTTAGTGTCCTAATTTTTTTATGACATGTATAAGCCAAAAGAAACGCCTATCAGTTCTGTTTATTAAATAGTTAAGTACAAATAACTTAATGAGTATTTGTATCCTATTTAGTAGCCATTTTGGTAATATATATATACTGAAAGACAAACAATATTGTTCATTTTATTACTAACTAATGTGCTTATTGGACAATGCATTAGTTCTCAAATTTTGGAAACACATTGGAAACTCTCACCCTCATTTTTTGTTCTATATTGATGTTTGTGCAGTATTTAACATTTTATCACAGAAATCCCTCTCAAATTCCTGCTTCTTAAAGATATGATGTCATCAAGGAAATGTTGCACAATCTAATGGGGAAACTGAACTATATTGAACTAGTAGTTCGTATGGTATCTGGCAGATTTCAGTTATTACTGTGCTTCCCCTCAAAAACTTAAAATATCTAATTGTGCCTCTATTAATTTGTCACAGCGCCCTGGGACTTTGAAAACTGCAGTCTTATAGGCCTGTTGCAAAAATTAACAAATTGCAATAAAAATGCCTATCACATAGTCTGACTCATGGCAAATGGCTAATAACTCCATATCTGTTTGTGTAGCAATCTGAGACAACTGTCAGACAATAAGAAATTTAGGGAAAGACATAGCCATCAGGTGTGAATAATCCTAGAAAATAGACCATCCAACAACTTTAGTAATGATTTAACATGGAACAGAGGTGTAGAAATCATGTATTTCAGATATTATAATGGGATACAGTACTGTTTCTTTGTTGCTATGAAGCATAACTAAATAGCTCTTTTAGGGTTTTGCTGTATACTTTGCTCTATGTGCTCACAGCTATATTAGTTGTCAATGCTTCATAGCAAAATACCACAAACCTGGTGACTTAAAAAAACACACATTTATTATCTCACAATTTCTGTGAATCAAGAATCTTGAGTATTTTTCAGTTGAGTTATCTGCAAGGCTGCAAACAGGATGTCAGCCAAAACATGGTTCTCATCTGGAGGCTTGACTGGGGATGATCTTCTTCTGTGCTCCCTCAGGTTGCTGACAGAATTCGTTTACTTGTGCCTGCAGGATTTATGGAAATTCGCTTTTTCAAAGCTAGTAAACAAGGGACAGACTGTACAGCAAGCCTATTAGCAAGACGAATTCTTATATAACAACATAATAACAGGAGTGCATCCCATCATTTTTACCACATGCTATTAGTGAGAAGCAAGTCACAAATCCCACTCATACACAGGAGAGGATTATGCAAGCTTATGAACACCAGGAGATGGGAATCATGGGGGCCATCTTAAAGTCTGTCTATCTCAATAGATAATACTAAAATATATATATATTTTATTATTAAGATTTCACATTTGGTGATACATGTATGCTAAAAAAACTTGAAGGAAAGTTACTTATCCAAACCATGTCTATCATCTTAATGAGCATTAGTTTTTATGGCATTTATTTAAATATCAATTTTAACAAAGCGTAAAAGCAACTCATAAAAAATTTCAAAAAACTAAAAATGTTTTCAGCAATCCTGCGTCTATATGCAGCAATGAGGAGCATGACTATCTTCATTCCTGCATCATTTTCTCCTCCCTTTGGTAACATGGTAAATATACTGTCTACGGGAAGGTGTTAAGCTATAAAAAGGGCAAATGATACTGAGCAGAGGGAATACTCTAATGCAGACTCTATACCTGGAAAGGTTTATGAAAGTGTAGGGATGCGGTTTCCAAAAGTTCACTTATTTATTTATTTATTTATTTATTTATTTATTTATTGAGCAAATAGTTATCTGTAGATGTAGTATGACTATTCTTATACCTCTCTATCTGCTGAGGAGGATCCTACTCTTGAAGTATAAACAGTACCATTGACTTCCAATCAATTAGTTTTGATAATATTCAAAAGAGAGTAATCAACCTGACACTAGCCTGAATAACCGACACCTTACTGGCCCTATTACTAATAATAATAACATTTTGGCTCCCACAACTTAATATTTATATAGAAAAATCTGACCCCTATGAATGCGGATTCGACCCAATAACTTCCGCCCACCTCCCCTTTTCCATAAAATTCTTCCTAGTAGCCATCATGTTCCTCTTGTTCGACTTAGAGATCACTCTACTACTACCGCTGCCATGAGCCCTTCAAACAACCAACCTGACACTAATAATCAGCACAGCCCTTATATTAGTTACCATTTTAATCCTAGGTTCATTTATTATGTGCCAGATAATGTGCTAGTTATTAAAAATACGAAGAGAATAAGGTAGCTATTTTCAAATCTGCTTTTGGATTAGCACCTAAATATTTCCCTAGAAAGTTACCCAAGTCTACTGATTTATTTAAGGTTCAGATTCCTTACAAATTACACTTTCTACTTTTATTAATGAGTAGGTAAGATCTTCATTACCTTCTAATTAGCCACATTTATTCTCTTTTCTGTTCATATTGATGAGCAATGGAGCCATTATTGCCTCCATTTTAGAGTCATTAATTTTATACTCTTCATTTGTTGGAATAATAGAATGGAATGACAGAAAGCAACTTTAAATGTCATTTCAGTAACAATCTATCTGATCCTTGAATATTATACAGCATCTTGACAACTGCATGTCCAGTCCATATTAAATACCTTCCATCACAGGCAACTTCCTCCCTCCAAGGGCAACTTGTTCAGTATATTTGTCCAGAAAATACTTATGAAACCACTATCACAAGTTGGATATGATACTAGATGCTGGATATTCCCTGGAGAGTACAACACACATGTTCCTTACTCTCCAGGAGGAGGCAGACGATAAACAAGAGAAAAACCGTAAATATAAACGGTAATGGGTGTTTAGAGTGAAGAGCAAAGGATAGTTAGAAAAAAACTCTCTTCAGAAATAGCATTTACATCAAGATCTGAAGGATGACAAAAATCCAACCATGCTAATAGTGAAGTAACAGAAAATTGTTTAAGGAAGTGAAAGGAAGCCAGTAATGACTACAGCAGAGTTCACAAAGGAGGAGAGTAGCATGAGACAAGACTAGAGAAGTAAAGAGTTCTTGTTTAGAATTGAAATTGCTCTCCCTGCCTCCCCACTCATGAGGCCATTTGTCTCTCTTTGGACCATTCAGAACAGACAGATTCAATCTACTTCTAAGAGGCAAACTTTCCAGGATTTCCTGGGCACATCTCTCTTGTATACCACTCCACTAAACTTCCGCATCTTTTATCCCTCCTTCCTATGAATGGCAGACCACACTTTCAAGGTCAAACTCTGATATCTGCTACATAACAAGCAGGACGGAGGGTTGCTTCATTCCTTGGTTTTAATATTCTAGTTTTCCTTTAAGCATCCTCTTTACACCTGGGGATTCCCCAGCTCTCTCCTTACTAAACCTCCCCCCAACAGGATTAGCTTCTATAAAGAGCACCACCCTTATCCCTGGCACCCAAAACTCTCACTCCTGATTTTGTATTCTCTTCCACCCACTCTTCTGCACCACTTAAAATCACCTCTCGTCTGTGACCCTCTGCTGCCCTCTTTTGACCATAATCCATGCGAGCTGCTGACAAGACCCGCAACCCCTCTGCTCCATGCATCTCCCTAGACCCTGAGCCAGGCAAACTTTCACCTTACTGTAAAACATGTCCCCTGAGCACAGTCACACAACAGTTCCTCAGATAGAAGGTGCATTCCCTGCAGGATATTCCAGCTCCACCCACATACTTCAAAAATATATATGTATATACGTGTGTGGGTATGTGTGTGTGTGGAAATATGTCAGTCACTGTGCTGGATTTTTGAAATATATCAGCGGATGAGAAAATTCATGTCCATTAAATAGTATGGCTTAGTGGAAGATATAGCTATATAAACTAGAAATAATATATCTTGACAAGTGCTGTGATGAGGAAATTTTATGATACTATAGAAGCACTTAAAAGGATTACGTAACTATGACTTAAGGGACAAGAAAAGCTTCAGACCTCAGATTGTGATCTGAAAATTGAGATGAAACGTGTTCCATGTAGTTCAAGGGTTGGCACATAGAACCCAACATTTATTTGCCACTCTGGAGAAAATTGCGTCCCTCATGTAGGTCACGCCCTCAAACCAGACCTTGGGCTGTTTATCTCACCTCTAGACCTACTCATCTATCAAAGACTAGGACTATTGGGCAAAGATAATGCCATAAGAAACACAAGAACTCTAGCCACATACAGGTTAGAGCCAAGACTGATTATCTAGCAACTTTACCAACAGATAAACCCACCTACTCCAAATCCCTGCTATCTTTAGACAGTACCCAAGGAAAACCTTCTGGTTTGCTATCATCTCCCATGTCAGCAACCACAATATTCTGTGCTGCTTTTGCTTAACACAGTCACCTATTGCTACCCTCTATCCCAAACTTTTCACTATGTCAAATCCTAAGTAAAAAAAATCCTCTGTATCCAGTCCTCTGTTTTCTTCACCCATTTCATGCCTTTAAGTTTGTTTCTCCTCTCAAAATACTGTTTTTTCTGCAGTCCTCTCAAAAAGTTTCTCATTTTCTCATGCTGCAAGCTCTTCATTATTACCACCGTGAAGAATGTGCCATCAAGTCATAGCACACTCTCTTCTCCTAGTCGCTATGAGTCAACATAATCTACTTCTCCTACTTCTTTAAAGACCTTGGCAATAACTATCCACCTCTCCACTCTGTTCTTGCCTGGGAAACTCAAGATCCATACAAATGATGGGAGCTCTAATGAGTTCATTGGTTATGAACATGAACTCTTCTGGTTTTCCTCCTACTCTCTGGCATCTCCATCTCAATCTCATTACAGGATTTTCTTCTCTATATGTCCCTGTATTAGCAAACCAAATGTTGACTTCTTTTCCTCTCACTCCACACCGTCTCCTTGGTAAATACTGTCTCAGTTAACTGTGGATTCAATTAACATCTATGTGCTAATAAATACCGAATCTTTATCTCATCCAAATATCTCTCATGGGCTCCAGAGATGAATACCTAACCGTCTAAATAGATACTTTTTGATGACTCACAGACATCTAAATTCAATGCGTCCACAGATGAATTCATCATCTTTTCCCCAAGTGAGTTATTTGCTTTGAGAGTGATACCTAAATGCTCAAGCCAGAAATACAGGTTTCTTCTCTTACTCCCTTCTCCAGTTTCTCCGCACACCCACCTCAAGGCAATTTCTATACTTCCTTCTCCATTTGCCCTTTTTCTAACTTGTCACCATTTTATTCCTCAAGTTCACTGTCCTGCACCTCCTCCTGCCACCCCTTCAATCCATTCTTCACACTGCATCCATCCTGACTGTCCAAATATGCATCTGCTTATATCATTACCCTGATTTTTAAAAACAATGAAATAAAATGCTTAGTGGAACCCTTCTACCCTCAGGATAAAGTTCACAGGCCCCAGCGTAGCATAACATACTCTTCTGATTTGGTTCCTCATTAACTCTCCAACCTCATCTCTCATCCTCTCAACACCAATATGCCCCATTCATGCCAAACCACTGTGTGACAGGATCCAATGACAACGACAAATTTCATGAAACACGTATAATTCTACTTGTATCTAAGGTTAAAGGACTTTCTTATTAAGTGTCTGGGGGTGAAGGATGGGGTTTTTAAGGAAACCTATGTCAATGAACCCCATTTGTGTGCATAAAGATAACCAGTTGCATGTAGGTTTGATTTCTGCAGAATATAGGTAATTCCCAAGGGGACCAGCAGAGAAGAAGGAAAAAAAATGTTAGCTTCACCAGGCTCCTTAAATTATGACAACACTTACACATGACTGGCCCAGAATTTAGGCTGCAGTGAAGCATTTCTAATGGCTCAATTCCAAGGCTAATAGAGCCAAGCAACTCTTTGAGGATCCTCTATGTCCTCTCATTTTTTAAAACCCCAGATGCTAGCATATAATCAATGCTTAACTCTATGTTGCAGATCCTTTGCAGGGATTGTGCTCATATAACCTACATTTTCCAGGACAATTGTGATTTCAAATATTCTCCTCTGTAAACCATGGAAATGTTTCATAAATTACAATTTTATGAAAATAATAATGGAGAAGATCAAGAAAGTTAAGTATTGTAGTAAAATTTTAGATGTGAAAAGATGAATAGCACAAAAGAACTGAGACATCAGAGGCCAAGGAAGCATTGTGATACATTGTGAAAACAAAGTATACTATCCCATGTCATATACATCTAGGTATGTAATGTTAAATGTGTGTAACATGTGGCACCCTCAGATAAAAATAAATCATGTTAAAGTGACATTCTGCAAGGAAGCCACTTTCCTGGTTGGCACAATGTGAGGATCAGAATTGAAATGAAGAGTCAGATAGGTATTGTCTTGTTTTATTGTTTGTTTGTTTGTTTGTTTGTTTTATGATTCTTGGAACTTCATGAAAAAATTAATGGAGAAAATTGAAAACCTCAGTGAATTACATGAAAAGAAAACAATATACATTTTACTGTGAAGTTATGTATAGTAATTTATTACAACTTTTACTATTTTGACCACTGCAAGATATTTTGATAGACTCTTGTGACCTCACTTGTTCACTCCTTTAATGAATATTGAGCATCTCCTGTGTGTTGGACACTGTCCTAGGTACTTGGAATGTGAACCTAATGAAACAACACAGGTCACTGTCTTCAAGAAGCTTATATTCTAGCAGTGGACAGATAATACCAATAGGTTTGTAAATTAGTAAATCACATCAGATGTTAAAAGATGATAAATTTTATGCAAAAAAAGTAGTGTAGGGCAGAGGAATTCAGAGTGCCATTAAGGGAAAAGTGTAAGGCTGTAGTATTAATAGAGTGATCAAGGTAAGCTTTATTTGGAAGATAAAATTTGAGCAATCACTTGAAAAAGGTGAAAGAATTAAACAGACAGCTGGGGAAGCATGTTCCAGGCAGAGGGGACAGCTGGAGCAAATGCTCTAGGATGAAAGGACTTTTCACAGTTGTGATTTCACATTTGTATTTTGATCATTGTATTAATCTGCCTCCTTCCTTAGACAGTATCTCCAAAAAAGGTAAGAACCATATCTGCTTTGTTCAATTTTCTCTTAGCATCTAGACCAAGAATGCTCAGAAAATATATATACTGAATGATTAAATAAATGAATATTAATTTGCACATTCATTTTTCTAATGAACTAGGAAAACTCTTCACCTGGTTTGACTAAGAGATTTTCTATTCTAGTCTATTCTAGATTTTGCTCATTCATTCACTTGTGGCTGATTCTAGTCTGTGTGTCCAGCTCCATTACTGACTCATACTAGCCTGTAATTGAATGATACTGCCTTCCATCAGCATACCTATTACTAATTGCAGAAAAACTATAGCTTCATTCTCTACCTGATAGAACTTCACCTTAAGTATGAGAGTGCTTATAAACCTTCCAATACCATCTAATAAATGTCTTCTACAGATTTTTTCCATGGGAGTTCATTTTGGTTCCTCCTAGCATGGCTGAGCAGATTCTGTTCTCTGTTTCTTTATTCTTTGGCTGACTGCCTATGTTCTGCAGAATCAGTATTCTGCTCTGCTGTGTGATGGACAGGGGGTTATCCCACTTCTTTTTGGCAGGAAGAGGGACTTCAAGTTTGGCTCTGAGCTGAAAATGAATAACACACTAGAAAAAATAAGGTCACCACTATTCCTCCTGTGTAACTCGCTATTAAATATTTTCTTTGCATGAATTAGCTCAGGAATTTTAGTATTTAACTATTTTGAGCCCAGTACCATAAAACATAAATGTACAATATGCCAGTTAAGCTCTGTGAATTCTACAGCACATAAAAAACTAAGCAACTGTCATTGGAAAAAAACACAAAATTACATTCCTGCAGTTCAAATTTTTATCAAGTATGTTTGAAAATATTTTATTATTGTATTGCAGAATACAAAAAGTAAGCAGAAATACGTAAGAGAAATCTTCTAATACAATATGTGAAAAGGTATACTTTTTCTAAATAATATGTCCATTTTTATCACATTTGACATAATACACAGAGTTATGATGGAAATAAAGTTTACAAAGCACCTACCATGTTCTAAGAATAAATAATATAATGCATGTAAAGTGTATCTGTTCATAATGAACCTATAATGTATATAAGGTATTATTATCACTGTGGATTCACCTTTACTCTGCATTCATCCATGGGCTAAGCGCAAAATAATACTGAAGTAAACTTTATACTTGAAGAATTTGATCTCACTTGACATATATAATCTAAGAAATACTAGTAAGCCCTGAAATTTGTAATATACAGAGGCTCAATGAGGGTTTGTATATACACACACTATCTAAAAGATGGTTTTGGTCTAATGGAGTTTATACCACAAAAAGAAATAATTCTGCATTGTAACATTTACATTTCTCAGCTTTGCATGTTGAGAAACAGCATATTTATCAGAGGTAGCCTCCTTGAGTTTGAATCTCATTTCTGCTACCTACTAGTCAAATGTCTATGAGAAAGTTATTTAATCTCTCTGAGCCTAAGTTTATTTCATCAGCTAAAAATATTGCCTACCTGTATTAGTCAATTTAATATATCAACTTGACTATGCTATGGTTCCCACTTGTTTGGTCAAACACCAGCCTAGATGCTTCTGTAAGGTAGTTTTAAGATGTGATTAGCATTTAAATCAGTAGACTTTGAATAAGGCAGCTTTTCATAATATAGGTGGGCCTCATCCAGTCAATTGAAAACCTTAAGAGAAAAGACAGATATCTCAAGGAAGGAATCTTCTGGCTTCTGACAGTCTTTAGACTCAGGACTGAAAATCAGATCTTCTCTGGTCTCCAGTTGCTGACCTGACCTGACCTGCAGATTTCAGAATTGCAAGCGTCCACAATCATGGGAACCAAGTCCTTAAATTTCTCTCTCTCTCTCTCTGTCCACACACACACACACACACACACACACACACACACACACACACACACTCTGTCTCATTCTGTTTCACTGGAGAACCTGGAGAACCCTACCTTCCTGCTTATTGGAGTGCTGTGAAAATCTGCTCTGAAATCTCAGCTTTCCTGTGATTATTGTTAGTCTATTTCTAATTTTCTATCCTTTTACTTTTATACTATTTCTGTCTTTATATTTAAAGTATGTTTTATTTTGGCAATATATTCTTAGGTCTTGCTTTTTCAAATCTAACAATTTCTGCTCTTAATTGGGGTGTTTAAAATATTATTTTGTCCAGCTCCATATTTCCATATGGTTCATTTTCCTTCTATTTGAAGAATTTTATTTCATATTCTTGGAACACAGTGGTCTTTATTTTTACCATTTTTTTATTTTAAGTTCCAGAGTACATGTGCAGGATGTGCAGGTTTGTTACATAGGTAAACATGTGCCATGGTGGTTTGCTGCACCTATCAACCCATCACCTAAATATTAAGCCCAGCATGCATTAGCTATTTTTCCTAATGCTCTCCCTCCTCCATCCCCCACCTTTATTTTTTAAAGATATTTCATTGAGTATAATTCTAGGTTGGCATATTGTTTCTTTCAAAACATTAAAGACGTTACACCACTATCTTCTCACATGTATTTGTTCCAATGAGAAATCTGCTGTTATTCTTATCCCTGTTCTTCTGTATATCATATAGCTTTTTGTCTGTCAGTTTTTGTTTTTATCTTTGGTTGTGATTATTTATTTATGATGTAATTTGGTATGATTTTCTTCAATGCTTCTTGTGCCTGGATTCCCTGAGTTTCTTGGATCTGTGAGTTTATTCAATTTGAAAACTTTTCAGCCATTATTTCTTCAAATACTTTTCTCCATCTCTTCTTTCAGAAACTCCAATTATATACATATTAGGTGACTTAAAGTAGTCCCACAGCTCATTAATGCTCTGTTTATTTTTATTACTATTAATATCCTTTTTTCCCAACTTTTGTGTCTTGAAGTTTACTATTTTTTCTGCAATGTCTAACCTGACATTAATCACACCTAGTATATTTTTCATCTCATTGTATGGAAGTAAAATTTAGATTTTTTAAAATATCTTTTATATCTCTACAGAAGTTTAACTTCTCACACATTGTAGGCATGATACTTTCAGCTCAAAGGTTACGAGCCAAGAGTTCAGAATTGATTACTGATTGAAGTGCACACATATAGCAGTTGGTATATTTAGGATTCAAGCCCAGATTTTCTAACTCAAAAGGTTTTTGTCTCATTATACGACAGTGCCTCCCAAGCAGGACAAAGCAGTTGTGAATGTGGGCTTCTTGCCTTTATAGGGTTATCTGTGACTGTTTTAAAAAGATAAAAAATCTAAAGGGTTTAGACTAGTACTTAACACAGAAAAAGTACTCATCATCATCATCATCATCACAATCCCATTTTGGCACACAGGTCAGCTCCCATAACGAAAAACTATCCAGCCTGAAATGTCAATAGTTCTGAAGCTGAGAAACCCTGGTCTAGATCAGTAGTTGTAAACCATGGTGGCACATGAGAATTACCTGGGGAACTTTTTTAATGGCAATTCTTCGGTAACCCCAAACCCAGAAATTTGAACTTAAGTGGTCTGCGGTGGACCTTGCATACATGTATCTTCCCTAGTTCCCCAGGTAATGCTAATGTACGGTGCAACCAGGATTGTGAAGCACTGGCGTAAATAAAGCTAACTAGTTTTAATAAGGAAATGGAAAAGATGGTTACAATGAGAGGAAATCCTTACTGGGATTTTGCCAGAAGGATTCCTGCCTTTCTCTCTCTCTAACTTACCAGGAAAGTCCTCAATTTTTTCAGAGATCCTACTAAATTCACTTTTTGTTGTAGCATTTTCCAAAACAGCATTCTAACTAATAAAAATAAATCTTATTTTAAAAAAGCCAGACTCAAAAAAACAAAAGCAGGAAACTAGACCTCACCCACATACAAAACACCCCACTGCTGACAGCACCATGTATATGGCTTTTATGCACAATCCTTTCTGTGAACAGCCATGAGGTTAATTTTTGTCTCAAAAAAATGTTTTTGTTTGCCTCTCTTAACTTGGATCTGCAATGTTACTATCCTTCTGCAAATTCATTCTGTCCTTGGCTCTTTCTTCCCAGGCTCTCTTTGACCCACTGCTTCATTATCTCCTGCTCATCATGGAAACAAACCTCTTCCAGCTAGATTTTCTCATGGGATCCTAAATCAAAGTTCAGTAGAATGTGAGGTCCCCATTAAATGAAATATCAATGGTTCAGAATCTCTACAGGGTCTCCTCTCTGTACCAAAAGTAGCTTATTAAATTGCCACAGTTATTGTTTAATGGAAAGCCAAAAGGTTTAGAATAAGAGGTTATTTAATTTCTCTAATTTCAGTTTATCCACACAGATTGACTTAGAAATCTCACCAGGATGAGTGAAAGATTTAAAAATATACTATGGAAGATGATTTCAGGCACATTTGTAATAGGGTTGATGATTGTATACAATAAATATACACGTCATTCCTTCCTCTGGATAACAGCTTTGCCATCGGCTGCTGGAAGTCCAATTTCTGCCAAAGAAGGAAGGTTATGCTGAGCTATTTGACAAAATGGTTTTAACTCCTAGAAATAAGACAAGATACTCTAATGTATATCAGCTGTAGACTTTACTGCCTTCTCATGTCACATGCTTCTGCAGAGTAAATAGAAAACTCCTGCATTATATGGAACTTAGATGTTTTCTGTTTTTAAAAATGGCAAACGTAAATGGGAGAAGCAACATAGTTAGAAATTTCAGAATTCTGTTGGTTGCCATGCAGCCAAGGTAATCTCAGTAACACATAATGAGGAGAACACAGCATTAAAAATAATGTGATTTGTAGCATAAAAATATTGATCATCAGTGCCAAAGAGAATCTGAGTGTTTGAACAAGAAATAACTTGGAGTAAATAAACACCCACACTCATGAATTACAAAGGAACTATCCTTTTCTTAGCAATTTTATTTCTAAGCTCTTTGAATTGGGTAAACCTGAAAGGTATTATTTTATAGCAAAGGTCTTTTCTGTAAAGGACCAAATAATAAATATTTTAAGTTTTCATGACGCATTGTCTCTGTCAAAACAACTCAACTCTGCCACTGTAGTATTAAAGCAGGTACAGACAACACATAAACAAATGGGCTGGAATGTATTCCAATAAAACTTTGAATGTGTTCCAGTAAAACTTTATTTATGAACACTGAATTTTGAATTTCATCTAATTTTCATACGTCATGAAATATTATTCTTCCTTGATTTTTTTTCCACCCTTTTAAAGTGTTAAAATCATTCTTTGCTCGCAGACCATGCAAAAAGTGGTAGCAGACTCTTTGGCCCATGGGCCCTAGCTTGCTGACCCCTATCCTGCAGTATTTATTTACCATTATTGAATTTTTGAAATGTTTATTAAAAGTTGTTAGAAAGCACTTATGGGACTTCCACTTCTGGCACAGGAGTACTATAGAGATGCTAAAAATATCCTGACACTGACACCTAAAAATGTGTAGGCAGAATTTTAAATGGTAGAATGAGGGCAAGAAATATCTTAAATAATTAAATGAGCCTACAAGAAAGTAAGGAAACCTGATGAAGTTAGGAACACAGTGGAAACGTTAATCAAGGAAAAAGCAAGCACAAAAGCCACTGGAATATCCTAAAGAAAAATACAGATCCCTGGGTATACAGAACTTTAAAATATGAGAGAGACTGGGCACAATGCTTCAGGCTATAGAAACTTGAACCAAGCCACACAAAGCTCAGAAGTGTTTCACCTTCAGGAAAAGGGAAATAGAAAAGAGAGAAAGAGGCAGTCAGCAAGAAAGATTGACTTTCCAGCCTATACCTGTGTGAAAACAACAAAAAATTCTCACCAGTAACTTGCAGACACCAGCCTGGACATAGGTGGATTTGGGGACTAAATATAGACTATCTAATGGTTCCCAAAACCGCAAACTAATAATTGTAACTTGCAAGTTTGAATTAGTAACTGGCAGAGGCAAACACAAATCTTGGTAGTAGAACCCATATTCAGAGTTCACAGAATTCTCATACAGAGAACTTCAACAAATAATTGCAATTATAGTAATTTCTCATGATAAAAAAAGATTCACAAAATGCACAAGGAAACAAGTCACAATAAGCAAGAAAAAGAGAAATAAAATATCATAGATACATATAATACATAAAGCATTCCTATATTCTTAGAAATCATCAGATAATAAAAGATAAGTAATGTTATTAGGTTTAAAGCAAACAAAGAAGAAATTGAAAGCAGGATCAATCAGTGAAAAGAGTCTCAAAAAATGACCAGGAAGTTCTTTAAAATGAACAAAATAGGATTTTAAAAACAAAAATGTTAATAAACTGAAATTTGAAACTCAATGAAGGGATAAGATACAGGCAAAGAGAATTAGTGAACAGTAAGGCAGATTTTAAGAAATTCTTCAGAATATAGTACAGAGAGAAAATAATTGAAAAATATCAGATTGCTATTACATAACATGAAGAAAGGAGGAATAAATTCTAATAATTATCTAGCCAAAGACCCAGGCTGTCTGGATAATAGATATTATCCCTTTTATTTACGAGTCCAAAAGATAATAAAAGTGAGTTTTTTCAGAATTATTCAAAGATATCATTCATAGATTCAAGAAGCCCAGTAAATCTGAAGAAAGATAAACTTTTAAATTCACAAATAGATACAAAATGAAAACTTTCCTAAAAGACAAAATATAAAACAACTAGAAATCAAAGATAGATGGAATCTAGTGTCCAGATTGTGCTTAGATTTAAGGGTTCAAAAAATTCAACTCTAGCACCAGAAGGAAAAGCCAAGTATATGGGTATACATGTTGGTAGGGCGGAGAGATGCAGAAGAGGGAACCTGTAGAAGTTCTATTCTGAGAACCACTCTCTCCATAAAGTTGGAAGCAAGGTCACCAATGGAGAGTAAGGTATAGATTGGTGGAAGAATTGGTGAGGGGGTTAAAAAAGTATGGAATTGTTAAAAGAGTTTAAGACTGAATAGAATTGGAAACTATATTATGAGTGCTGGCAGCATTAATAATCTTCCTGAGGTTTGTAGTCATTAATTTTAAGTACCATCATGTAGCTTCAGAAGTACAGGAAGAAAGTAGGCAAAGAACTGGATTTAACAAGGGCTGGGTTTTGACAATGTGAATAAAATGAATTAAGATAGGAATAAGGAGGACAAAGCTGTTTACAATGGAGTGATTATAATGATTTGGCTAGATAAAGAGAAAAGTGAGAACAGGAAATGGGTGAGAGGTAATTAAAATATGACCAAAACTGTAAATTGTAGGTCTTCATAGAGTCACACAATTGGAATCAGAAGAGGAAAGAGCTTGGAAAGACAGAAGGCAGTGGCCAGAAAGTGGCCTACTCAAAACAGTTTATGAGGGGCTTGTAGTTAGTGTTCATAAAGAACTTCTAGGAGAAGACTGTGGGGTTGATGAGCTGGGGGTCAAGTTCACTAATGGGAAGAAGTGAGAGGCCAAGAATGTTGGAAAAATTTTCTATGTAGATATTGAAAGCTACAAGAACTAAGATGGAAATTTCTGGAGAGAATGACAGTGACCAAGAGGTAAATGTCCTAAAAATGAGAGGAAATGATCTAAGAGATATTAAGTGACTACAGCATAAAAAGACAGTGGATGTTAGAAATAGTTGACAACAGTTTCAAAGCTGAATTTTAGTGAGGAGGAATGGAGAATGGTCTGTATATATCAGTGAAGGCTGTTCTGTGCATTGTAAGATGTTTAGCAGCATTCCCATTCTCTATTGCCTAGTTGCCAAGAGCATCCCCTTTTTGCAGTTGTGACCATCAAAAATGTCTCCAAACATTGACAAATGTCCCTTGAAGAGGAAAATTGCCTCAAATGCTCTATAGGAAAACCTCACACCAAGTTCATCATGCTTGCTCACTTCAATTCTTCTCTTGCTACTTTCTCACAGTTTTCTTATCTGTCATTCACTTCCACCACTCCACTAAATGTGCTTTTATTAAGGTCACTAGTGACCTCCCCATTGCTAACTTCAATGTTCACTATTTGGCCTCCCTTATATTCCTCCAAGCATTTGACGGAGTTGATCATTCCCTTTTCCTTGAAACAATTTCTTCACTTGATAACAGTATATACTTCACTCACCCAATTTTCATTCTCCCTCAGCAGCTTCTCCCTTTTACTTTCTTTCTCAAACCTAAACTTGTTGGTGTGCCTAAGATTCGATATTTTGTGCTCATTCTCTTTTCTAGTGTCACTTTTTGGTGAGCTCTTCCAATCTCATAGATGTTACCACCTATATATTGATGACACCCAGTCTTGTGCCTCTATCCAAGTCTTCTTTACAGCCTGGAGACTTATACAGCCAGTTACATGAGTGACATATTCACTTTCATATTTAATTGGTATGTGAAATTATGTCAAAAATCAATCATCCAATATTTCCCTCAAACTTGTCTCACAGCCCTTCCCATCACAGTTAATGGCAACCCCTGTCTTTCAGTGACTCTGGTCAAAAGTCTTGAGTCTTCTTTACTCCTCTATTCTTCCATGCCACCTCCAATCCATCAGAACATTCTGTTGACTTTAATTTCAAAACATCTATAATATAACTGTATTAGTCCGTTTTTTTGCTGCTGATAAAGACATACCTGAGACTGGGTAATTTATAAGGAAAAAGAGGTTTAATGGACTCACAGTTCCGCATGGCTGGGAAGGCTTCCCAACCATGGTGGAAGGGAAAAGGCTGGTCTTACACGGCTGAGGCAAGAGAGAATATGTGCAGGGGAACTCCCCTTTATAAAACCGTCAGATCTCATGAGACTTATTCACTATCATGAGAAGAGCATGGCAAAAACCCACCCCCATGACTCAATTACATCCCACCGGGTCCCTCCCATGCATGGAGATTATTACAATTCAAAGTGAGATTTGGGTCTGGACACAGAACCAAACCATATCAATAACAAATTTCCACTTCTCTTGTGTCTGCTCTCAATCCAACACATCATCTTCTGGGATCTGAATTATTTTAGTAATAACAGTGGGCAATAGTTTCCCAATGAATCTCCCCTCTCTCTACCTCTGCACCATACAGTCTATTCTAAATGCACCAGCCAGAGGAAATCTTTTAAAACTTAACTCAAATCTTGCCACTTCTCTGTTCAAAGCCCTCCTATGGCATCCCATCTCCTTCAGAGCAAAAGCCAAATGTGTTACTATAGCCTGCAGAGTCCTAAATGATGTAGTTCCTTGTTTCTTCTTGTACTGGGTTGTAGAGTGTTTCCAAAAAATTCATGTTCACCTAGAACCTCAGGAACTGACCTTATTTGGAAGTAGCCTTTGCAGATGTAATTAGTTAAGACGAGGTCATACTGGACTAGAAATGTGTCCTAACCTATGACTGATTATATTAGAAAAAATAGAAAAAAAAAGAGAGAGAGAGAGAGAGACATACAGGTGTGTGGGTGGGGGAGGAAGCTGGGAATGCCATGTAAAGATAGAGGCAGAGATGGAGTGAGTAGTCTACAAGCCAGGAAACACAAAATTGCTAGCCCCACCAGAAACTAGGAAGGAGGCATGAAACAAAATCTTGCTCAGGGCCGGGCGCGGTGGCTCACGCCTGTAATCCCAGCACTTTGGGAGGCCGAGGCGGGCGGATCACGAGGTCAGGAGATCGAGACCATCCCGGCTAAAACGGTGAAACCCCGTCTCTACTAAAAATACAAAAAATTAGCCGGGCGTAGTGGCGGGCGCCTGTAGTCCCAGCTACTTGGGAGGCTGAGGCAGGAGAATGGCGTGAACCCGGGAGGCGGAGCTTGCAGTGAGCCGAGATCCCGCCACTGCACTCCAGCCTGGGCGACAGAGCAAGACTCTGTCTCAAAAAAAAAAAAAAAAAAAAAAAAAAAAAAAAAAAATCTTGCTCAGAACCTGCAGTTAAGGAATTAATCCGGCTAACACCTCTACTTCAAACTTCTAGCTTCCAAGACTGTGAGAAAATAATTTTATGGTCTTTGGTACTTTGTTATGGCAGGCTTGAGAAAATAATACATTTCTTTTATCTTTTTATTTTCTCCTCTTTCACTTCCTCATTCTACTCCAGCTGCAATCTACTTGATAGTCTTTGAATACCTAGGCATGCCTATGTCCCAAAGCCTTTGTATCTTGTGTTTCCTCTGCCTGGAACACCTTTCCCCCAGATGCTTGGATAGTTCCTCCATTCCTTCCTCGTGTCTACTTAAAAGTTACCTTTGCCTGGCCGGGTGCAGTGGCTCACGCCTGTAATGCCAGCATTTTGGAAGGCCAAGGCGGGCAGATCACGAGGTCAAGAATTCGAGACCAGCCTGGCCAATATGGTGAACCCCGTCTCTACTAAAAATACAAAAATTAGCCGGGCATGGTGGCATGCACCTGTAGTCCCAGCTACTCGGGAGGCTGAGGCAAAAGAATTGCTTGAACCCGGGAGGCGGAGGTTGCAGTGAGCCGAAATTGTGCCACTGCACTCCAGGCTGGATGACAGAGAAAGACTCCGTATCAAAAAAAAAAAAAAAAAAAAAAAGAGTTACCTTTGCCTGATGTCTGATATATTTAAAGCTGCTACAGCACTCCCTTCCTTCTCCCCACCTTTATTTATCAGCCTAAAAGCTTTCACCTCCCAACAGTCTGCGTAATTTAGTTATTTCTAAAATTGTCTATCTCCTTTTATCACAATGTAAACATAATAAGTGCAGGGATTTTTGTCTAGTTTGTTCACTCACATATCCCCAATGTTTATAACTGTGAATGGCGCACAGTAACATGTACAGACTATCTGTGATACTTATCACTGATGATATTAATCTTAATCACGTGGACAAGGTAGTGTTTTCTCTGTTTTTCCACTTAAAGTTATTTTGACTCCTTTTCGTTGTCTATTCTTTGGAAGCCAGTTGCTAAACACAGCCCACATTGTTGGGGGAAGGTGGTGGGAAGGGAGACAAGTTAAGTTTCACCTCCTGGAGGTAATGTATTTAGATAAATTATCTAGAATTTTTCTCTAAGGAAGCCTCCACCATTTATTTATTTCAATAATTTATTTGTATCATCTTGTACTCATGTAGATGTATTTTATACTCTGAGTTATAATCCAATACTACATTGTTTATTTTATCACTCAAAATGTCCTGGTTTGAGCCATCAGGAGCTCTTTCAGGATGGCCCCTGCAATGGACTACATTGTTTGCATTCCCCTAATGTTTATATGTCTAGGCCCTATCCCCCAATGTGATGGTATTAGGTGGTGGAGCCTTTGAGAGGTAATCAGGTCATGAAGGTGGAGTCCTCATGAATAGGATTAATGCCCTTTTAAAAGGGACCCCAGAGACCTATCTCACCTTCTTTCCTCCCTGTGAGGAAACAGTGAGAAGAGAATCATCAGTAAACAAAGAAGTGGCCCTTACTAGACACCAAATCTTTTGGAACCTTGATCCTGGACTTTCAGCCTCCAAAACTGTGAGAAGTAAATGTTTGTTGTTTAAGCTACCCAGTCTATAGTATTCTGTTACAACAGGCTTTATTGACTAAGACAGTCTCTATGACTTGATAACATGCCCCTATCCTTTTGTTCCTTACTCTCTAGAACTATAAGATGCTCCAGTGCTGCATTTTCCTTTTCCATTCTTAGAGTCAGCCATATATCCAAGCATAGTGGGAGAATTTCATATATCTCTCTCAATAATTGGAAAAGAAAAAAGATAAAAGTCAGTAAGAATATAGATGATGTGAACAGTGTAATAAAGGAGCTTGATCTAATGGACATATATAGAATATCACAACTAAGAATTGCAGCCTTTATACATTTCTAAGCATGACAGAAATATTTATAAAGATTGACCAACTACTAGGCCACAAATATAGCTTTAATAAAATTTGGATAATTTTATCAAACAGATCACATTTGCTGAACACAGTGCAACAAATTAGAAGATTAATTATAAAAATATGACTAGGCAATTTTATATGGTCATGAAAATTCAAAAGCATTCCTTTAAATGACTCATAGGTAAAAGGAGAAATCATAATGGGAACGTTAAAACATTCATAGCTGAAAAAAATTAAAATATGATCTATTACAACTTGGATACAACTAAAATAGTTCTTTGGGAGAAATATAGAGCCTTAATCATTTTAAGTAGGAAAAAAAAATTTCAGACTTAATGATCTAAGCATACACAGTAACACATTAGAAAAAGAGCATCAAAATAAAGCCAAAGAAAGCCGATCGAAAGAAATAAAAATTAGAACAGAAAATCACATGCTAGCAACCAAACATGGAATAATGAGATCACCAAGGCAAAATGTTGTTTGGGGGGAAATATGAATAAAACTAAGAAACAAGGATAACCAGAGAAAGTGAAAATGTGCAAAAAAAACCAAAAACACAACAAAATTTTTAAGAATGAAAAAGGAGACATACCACAGATGCCATAAGAAATAAACATATAATAAGAAGGTATTAGGAACAATTCTTTTTTAAAACATAGATGAAATAGACAAATTATTTTCAAACATTAACTGGCCAAAACTGGTTTAAGAAGAAACAGACCATCCTAATAGTCCTATAACCATTAAAGAAATGGAATCAGCTAAAAATCTTTCTATGAAGAAAACAAGAATTTTAGATAGAAATTCAGGTGACTTCTAGCAAACATGCAAAGACAGGTTTTCCAGTCTTACATAAACTATTCCAGAGAATAGGAATGAAGCCAGAGACTAAGAAGAAAGGGGGAATTCCCCAACTCACTTTATGAGGCTAGTATAACCTCGATACCAAAACCTAACAATGATGGAACCAGAAGACAAAATCGCAATTTCATTATGAACATACACATACAAAAGTTTAAACTTTAGTGAAACAAATTAATAACACTTAAAAAAGATAAAAAGATAACTAATCATGACCAGATTGGTTTCTCTCAGTTCTACAAGCTAGTCTCATATTAGAAATCAAATAATGTAACACACCAGGAATGAATTAAAGCAGAAAGTTATGATCATCTCAATAGATGAGAAAATTACTTTTGAAAACTTTATTATCTTTTCAAGATATTAAAACACATACATGCACACACACACACAAACACAGAGAGACAGACAGAGAGAGAGAGATACATGGAGAGAGAGAGACAGAGAGAAATAAAACAAGACTAGAAGTAATCATCTTTAACCTGATCAAGGGTAGTTATCAAAAATCTACCATACATAATGGTGAAATGTTAGAAACATTTGCTGTACTGTAAGATCAGCAACAAAATCAGTAATTCTATGCAGTTTTATATTAGAAGTCCTGCAGTGCAGAGTTTAAGATAAAGTAAATGAAAGTTATAAAAATAAAAAACAATCAAATTGCCAATACTTCCAAATGCTATAATTATTAATAGCTCTGTAGAAAACCTGGAATGAATCTACAGAAAAATTTTTGGAAATACTAAAATATTTTAATAATGTTGCTCAATGTAAAATCAATACACAACAATTAATTGCATTTTTTAATACCAACAACAGTTTTTAAAATGTGGCTTTGAAATACAACCATTATTCTAGCAACAAAAATATAAATAGGAATAAATCTAGGAATAAAGCTGACAAAATAGTTATAAATAGAACTGTAAAACTTTTTTGAAAGCTATTAAAAAAACCCAAACAAATGGAGTAATAAACCATGTTATTGGATTAAAAAAACTCAAAATCACAAAGATGTCAATTCCCTCAGGTTGATCTATAGATTCAATGCAATTCCAATTAGAATCCCAACAGGATTTTTTTTCTCTTTCATGGAACTTGGCAGCTGACTCTAAAATTCACATGAGAGAGCCAGAAGCCAAAATTATATAAGACATTCCTATAGAAGAAGGCAAGGCTACAGACTAACAATACTTTATCATAAAGCTATAGGTATTAAGACAGTGTATGCTTCAGTACGGCTAGAGAAATAGACCAACAGAATAGGAGAAAGAGCCCCAAAACAGACCCACACAGAGATAGTATTGCAAAGCAGTAGAAAAAGGATAGACTATTTAATAAATGGTGCTGCAACAGTTGCTTATTTATATGAAAGAAATGAAATTGGATCCTTATTGCAATCATATATAAAAATCAATTTCTAGAGGATTAAAAATAAATGTGAAAAGCAAACTCATAAAGTATTTAGAAGACAATATAGGACAATTTTTATGAATGTGTGATAGGACAATATTTCATAAAAAAGTCAAAAAAAATGCAAACTTTAAAAATAAAAGATAGATAAATTTGACCGTTTTAAAATTCAAATTAAGAACTTCTGCTGATCAGAGATAAAAAAATGTATATATGTGTGGGTACACATAACAAACAAAAGTATTAAAGGATTAGTAGGCATAGAATATAAAGCTCTCCAAATTGTTATGTAAAAGACAACTAAATTGGGGGCAGAAGGGAATGCGATGAAAACATGAACAGGCATTTAATAAAAAAGAAAGCACAAATGGCTCATAACTACATAAAAAGATGCTCTACCTCATTATTCATAATTAAATGTAATTAAAATCACAAATCTAGGCATCATATTTAGTATATTATTTGATATGTATGATAAAGTTCAGAAAAGCTTATTTTTTAAAAGTCACTCAGTAGCAAGGTAAAGAATTTGCTTCAGAAAGGGTAAGCCAATAGATTCACAATATTACTACCCTAAGCAAGAAATAATTAATGACTAAACTCTTAAGACAATACTAATGAGAGAAAAAGGAGGAGATATGTCAGTGAATGATATTAAGGAAGACGTTACCACTCTTATTCATCATTTATCCCTAGTAACTAGAGTAGTAACTAAAACACAGTAGACATTTAAAGGATATTTGCTCAAATAGTAAATAAATGTAATGATTTATATGACACAAGAAATATAAGAAGTGAAATAACTGAAAGGATATATAGTAATGTCAACTTATTTTTTATTTTGTTACTTTTATGAGTATAAAATTTTACCTCCATACTTTTTGGTTTTAATTTTTGTACCCGAATAAATTAACAAGTTGAACACTATTCCATATGTTTCATAGCTAATGAAGTAGAAATCTCCCATATGTTTGTTTACATTGTTTCCCTCTAGTCTATGAATTATCTTTTTATGTCATCTGTCAATGTGTTTATTGAACTTATATTTTGTATGATAATGTTGATGTAAATGCTTTGTCTTCCATTTTATGCAAAATCCCTAAATTTATTGATTTTCATTAAATCAATAAATTTATGATGTTATTTTAATTTTAGTCTTACAAATTTTTAAAATGTTTATATAGTTGAACCTGATTATATTTTTCCAAGTAATACATAGAAAACTATTAGCTCTCCAGGATTTAATTCTACTCAACTCTAATCAAAACTGAGTGGGTAAGAATCTAGATAGTCTTTGTTTGGGCTTTATATTTATTTTATCTATATACTTACACATAAACTTAGCTTTACAATATAAGGTGTGAATCTGAATTTTTTTCCCAGACTTCCAAGCTTTTCCCAATTCCACTGTATTGTCAGACAAGCAATTATTATATAAAAATCAACACCATTTTCTTAGTTTTCTGTGTTACTGCATTTGACCCACATCTTTATTTTTGAACTTAATTGTAACTTTCCAATAGATTGTCTGATACCCGCTCTCTGTTCTCTCTCGTTTCCTAAAACCTCCTCCTTTTTGCACTTTAAATATGCTGTTCACTACAGCTTTCTTCTCAGACCACTTATTCATCCTGTGCATTATCCTATTGTCAATCGTATCTTGAGGACACTGACATTAGAATCTGTAGCCTAAATCTTTTTCTGAGCTTCATATTCATGGGTCAAATGACCTACTGGGCATTTCTTCAAGATGTGCTAGAGGAACCCCAAGAGTAACACTTTCAAACAAAATCTGTTTTCCTTCCCTTTTTCTGCAAACATATTTTTCCTACATTTTCTTTTCTGTGGAATGGAGAACCTTTGCTTCAGTTACTCAAGAGTGATCAAAAACCTGGGAATACACCTTTATCTACTAACTACAAATGTCCATGCAATCACAAAGTTTTATCTGTTCTCTCTCTAATTGCCTTTCAGATAGTAAAAACAAAACCAGCAATATATTTATTGAGCTCTAGGTCAATGACACGTTAAGTATTTCAACATATATTATTTCACTGAATTATCATAGAATCTTATGATATGGGGATTAATTGAAAAAATTAAGACTGAAAGACTGTGTCAATTCAGGTCCCCCAGAAGCTGGCATCAAGACAAGATTAGCAAAGGATTTCTTGGGAAAATCACCTGTGACGGGGAAAATGGGATGGGAGACACAGGAGGCTGGGAAAGGTGTCAGATGAAGATGTCACTTCTGCAAATGAGGGAGAGAAGAAAGGAAAATTGAATAGGAAATTCTTAATACTTCGGTGCAGTTATAAGAAGGTTTTGAAAAGCAGATGGAGAGTTCCCAACCTAAATTCACTGTCCAGAGGGGCTCACATCTTCAGGAAAGGGCCTGTTTTAGTATCCCTCCCATGCTCAGTCACTGGCCAGTGAAAGCCCAGGGAAATGTGGCCTCAGAGGGAATGCAGTGATGGATTCAGAGCACAATAGCTGGGGCTGCTACCCTCCCTGCAAGTCAGAGATATGGCAAGCACATTTTGTAACCACTGTGAAGAGTGTAAACAATTTGCCAAGATTTCACAGATAAAAAATATATAAAGCCAATATTCTACCTCATGCAGTGACTTCACAACTCAAACAACTACCATGCAAATCTCCTTCCATCATCCCCACTTCAAAGGATGTTGGAACACTCATCTAACTCATTTCCCTACTTCCAGCCTTGTCCCTAATCCATCCCTCCACACAGAAGCTAAGTAATTATTATGAATGCTACCCACCTTCTCAAAATTATGTAATGCCTTCCACACTCTCTCAGAATAAAATCTAAAGTTTCTAACACAGCATACATCCCTAATGATCTGGTTTCTGTCTACTCAAGTCTTATTTTCTGACACTTCCACTGTTTTTCAGCTCTACAAAAATATTCACCTCCTCATTCTTCACTCATCCACTCAATAAGCATTTGTGGAACATCTATCATATATGACAAGTCTGTTTTAACAACAAGAAATTTCTCAAAGTTAGATGATGCCCCTATTCTCTTTAGTGAGATAATAAGTATCAAAATTAATAAATTCAAAGAAGGATAAATGCTATGAATCAGAAAAAAAAAATGTTATAGGAGTAACAAGATTGGAAAGATGGTCCAGAAAGGGCTGAATGATAATTTGGAGGGAGAAGTTTCTAGGAGAGGGGATGAGGATAAAGACTCTGAAGAGGAAGGAGGTCAGTACCTTCAAGGAACAGAAAGAAGGCCAGTGTGTCAGAAGGGGAGTAGGCAGGGGGAGAGTAGACCAGGAGAGACAAGAGGGCTTGATATTGTGAAGCTAAAAGAGGGTACTACGCAGAGGAATGACATAACAATACTTTTATGTTTTAAAAGGAGCACTTTGGTTGCCGGATCAAGAGTGAATTATAGGGAACAAATACAGGAGCTGAATTTGCAGGTTCCTGGGCATACCACATTTGCTTACTCATCTCTATTACACCTACAGAAAATTTTTGCTCTATTACACCTACAGAAAATTTTTGCTCATACTTGAAATATCAGCCTAAATACTAGCATCTCTGTGACACCTTCTCTCATTCATGTAGGAAGATCTAACCACTTCTTCTTCTAGAATTCCATTGCATCAGGGGGAGTTCTAGCAAACTGCTAGAACCCATTATCCTTTGGAGAGACCAGAGAATCATGTAGACTTCTGGCATTTGTACTATTTTTCTTTATATACTAGAGAAAATGCTGGTACTGTCACTATGCACCAGTTAACTCTGGCTCCCAAGTTGTAGTTGGATGAAACAATTAGTCGGCCTTGGCCAGGCACGGTGGCTCATGCCTCTAATCCCAGCACTTTGGGAGGCCGAAGCAGGCAGATCTCGAGACTAAGAGGTCAAGACCATCCTGGCCAACATGGTGAAACCCCGTCTCTACTAAAAACACAAAAATTAACTGGGCATGGTGGTGCACACCTGTAATCCCAGCTACCTGGGAGGCTGAGGCAGGAGAATCACTTGAACCCAGTAGGCAGAGATTGCAGGGAGCGGAGATCACGCCACTGCACTCCAGCCTGGCAAGAGAGCAAGACTCCATCTCAAAAAAAAAAAAAGAATTAGTTGGCCTTTTAAAGAGATCATAATAATTTCTATTAAAACCAACATATATAAGTTAAAAGGAGAACTTACAAATGGTAAATGCTAAAAGAAATGCCTATGTAATAACTAATTTTAATTTTTTGTTTGTTTGCAGCTTTTAATACTGATTTCAGCATTATATAACAGATGCTATCTTGGGCATCTACAGGCATTATTTTATAAAACCTTTCCAATAGTCCTGAGAGAGAAGTCTGCCCTCTGTAGTCATTACCAAGTTGATTTCTTTCAAATGCATCACAGTCTTGACATATTTATAAAATTAATGCTTCCCAATTTTCAAACTCAGTCTTTAGCAAGAAGTAAAGTATATCCTTGATAGCTCCTTGCAGTAGAAATATTTTTCCTCTGACATTTTAACAAGTTTTCTATTTCACTCTCTTGTCGTCGGAATGCTGCCTTGAGGATTTTCTCATCTTCTAGCCAGTGTCAAACCCTAATCCTTCTTACAGGCTTCAATATCTATATTCCAAACCCATAGATAAAAAGCAATTTCTTCCTGAAGTTTCCTGATGGGAATCACAGTGGACTCACAAGAACCCACATTGGGAAGTATTATGGAAACCTATGAGGCATTACATTCTTTCCTCCAAGTCTGCAGAAAGTCTAAAAACAAATCAATACATGTTGAGTGTCTAAATGCCTTCCTGCCAGCCAGTTTCTTTAGGATTAAAGGGATTCTCCAACCCTCTCCCTACAAAAAACAAGTGAAGAGCTGCACTGAAACTCTCTATGTCTAATTGACAAATGCATTACAGTGGGAACTCAAGTTCCTTGATTAATATGATGCTTCCCTTTCACCTGCCTTCTAATGACTGGGCCATCCATTGCTTCATTGTCGAATCATTGCAACTTTGAGTTGCCACAAATGAGAAGTCCTTTGTGTAAACACAGTTCCCTAAGTAAGAAAAGCAGCATAGACTCACCAAGTTGTTCAGGGCCAGCTGTCAAATCAGAGATGAAAGAACTGATTTTTAGAAGTTCGCAGAGCAGATGAAGAAAACACTTTTAAAGTGCTGTCAAGGTGCAGCTGTCCTTGAAGAAATGGCTTCCTGACAGCTGCTGGTGCCTTCCTTCCTGCCAACGTTTAATTTCTCTGAGAGAATGAGGGTTTTAATTAGGTTCCTAGGGCAGCTAGCTCTGTATCTTTGACCTTATCAAGGATGCAGGATTTCAAAGCACAGGCTTAGATAGGTCTCCCTTCATTACTGATCAAAAGTCTCTCTAGGAACCCTCCTGGGCTCAGACTTTAGTTCCTCAGAAACCGAGGCTGCCTTTTTGTGCTTTCTTCTAAACGGTAGTCTTACACCAGCTTCCCTGACATTGCCAGACTCGTCAAGGGAGAAGGAAGTGTTCAGGAAGCAAAAATTAGATGCAATTCATACAAGAACTTTTTACATCTAAATCTACTCTCATACATCACTGTGAAGGCCTTCTAAATATTGGAAGAGGTTTACATCTGGTTTATTGACTTGATTTTCAAATGAATAACACTCTGAGTTTAAAAAAAAAAAAAAGCCTTCAATTGAGTACCAAGACTTACTTTCAACCTGATTGAGAGTATGTAATTCCTCTAAAAAAGACAGATGTTGAATTTTAATAATAGAATTTTTTGGCATGTAAAATTAAGCATAGAGCATCTGCTTTTACAATGCCAGCATCTGTTTCTTTGACATCTCTGCCTTCCCTTCTGCTAATCCAACTGTGAATTTGGTATAGAACCTGATAAGAAAAATGGATAAAATTGTTCATGATATGCTAGATTCTACAGGGCCAACACAAACTAGGCAATCAGAATTAGACTGTCATTCTAAAGGAATAAAATCTTCTGAGTCTCTCTTGCTCATAATACTCAGATTTCCAACTGAAATCAACAAATGTAATTTTTTTTAAGAAAACAGTGACATAATTTACAAATGACATTGTATGTTCTGGGGCTTTCTTTTGGAAAGCTTTTTGAAAAATTATTTAAAAGGCAGCAATTTAAGACTGTCATTAATACTATCACACATTATATGTCACTCACATAACATCAAGAAAATTCACTCAAAGAAATTTCCTTGATGATAATCTTTTAAAAAGGACATTCAGGGAGACTAAAATCACTTAAAATGGAGTATAGTTGTACAGTAAGAAGAAAATTATCATTAGATAACCATAATGATCTATTGAAGGAAAACAAATACTTGGTTTAATAATGATACGCCAGACTCCCTACTCCTGCCTCTCTTTAATTCCCATGTATATATTTATTCATTAATCAGATGTTATTAAAAACTAATTCTGCACCAGCAAGGTTAGGTATTAGGCATATAGAAGCTACTAAGCCAAAACTTAGGCCCTGAATGTAAGGTCCAGGGGGGAAAACATACACTTCACATACAAGTAAACACACAATTTAAAACTCTATTATGGGCATTGAGTAAAAGCTACAAATTATTCTGACATAAATTAAAAAGGGTAGTGTATTTTAGAATGATTAGTTAAGGAAGACATTCAAAGAGAAAGATGCTTAACCAAAACCTGAAGAATAAGTAAATGTTAATAATTAGGAAAGAGTAAAATCATCAGAAGAAAAAGATTAGAGCAATACTTAAGAAATTAAAAAAAAAAATCCAATGCATCCAGAAAGTATAATTAGTAAGGGCAGGGAAGATGAGATGAGACTGGAGAAATACAACTGGATCCACGTAGATCCCAGCAACAGTCTCAATCATGCCCTAGGTTCCAAAGCCACTGTTGTTTTTGGTCTGGGAGAATGAGGAGACCCAGAAAAGAGAATCTCTTGCCCACTGAGTAGTGGCATGGCCTCACTGCTGGACTCACACTATTCATGTGCCCATGGTCACAAGTCCAGCCTTACATCCCAGCCTGAATAGTAGCTCACCTGTCACTTTCTCCTTGATGGAGTTTTTTAGTTAGGATTCTCATCAAGGTACCCAGCCCTGCTTGCCATGAGGTCATCCCAGCTCTGGCAATGCCCCTGAGCTGGTCATCAAACCTTCTACCATGGTTGAGCATTCTTCCACTGTTTCTGTTATCAGAAACAGCAATTCATTCAAGTTCCTGCAGGCAATGGAAGTGGCACATGATAACCTAGACATACAGGCTTCAGGAACAGCAGAAACTAAAGACTTGTTTCTTGGTCTGTGGCAGCTGTATGAATCTCATGCCTTTTTCAAGACTTGACTACTTTCTCTCCCTCCTGCATCTCCCTGCTTCTCCACCAGCTTTGCTGTCCCCCAGTCCATAGCTTTTCTATACGTCCTTGTGCCTATTATCCACGGCTTCTGCTCCCTCATAACCATGGCTCTACACGAATCTGCCATTTCCTCTCAGCATTCTCCAGAGATAGAATCTAATACACTCAATTTATCTTCTGCATTCAGGCCAGTTTATTGATTGGTTGAGTTTTGGATTAGTCTCATCCCTTAATCCCATTGACTATGTCCCCAGGGCATAGAGCCTGAGGTCAAAAACATTGCTGCCAAGGGGTTGTCTATTCAACATAAATTGTATTGACAGCATGGCTGCTTAGAAAGATCTGTACTGATTAAACATTTTTTACCTCAATTTCTTTATTTGCAAAATGAAAGCAATGCCATCTTTATCTCCTTCAAAAACATATTATGATTATAAAACTCCTATACTCATGGCTACTAGGGAGGCTGAGGCAGAAGGAGTACTTGAGCCCAGGAGTTTGAGGTTAGGAGCTATGATCACACTGCTGCACTCCAGCCTGGATGACAGAGTTAGACTCTGTCTTTAAAAAATAAGAAATAATTTTTTAGAATGTGATATGGGTTGTAAAATCACTTTAAGAAGTTAAAACTCACAAACTGTAATTCAGGTATTATACCTAAAATAATATTATCATCAAATTTAAGATATAATAGCAGAATTCCCTCATATTGCTATGAAATATTAAGGGAGAAAGATATTTGTGGCCTTCAATATCTACTTTCAGCATCATCTCTCTCTTTTTTTTTTTTTTTTTTTTTTGACAGAGTCTGTCTCTGTTGCCCAGGTTGGAGTGCAGTGGCAAGATCTGGCCTCCCTGCAACCTCCACCTCCTGGGTTCAAGTGATTCTTGTGCCTCAGCCTCCCAAGTAGATGTGACTACAGGTGTATACCACCATGCTCGGCTAGTTTTTGTATTTTTAGCAGAGAAAGGGTTTCGCCATGTTGGCCAGGCTGGTCTCCAACTCCTGGCCTCAAGTGATCCACCTGCCACCTGCCACAGCCTCCCAAAGTGTTGGGATTACAAGCGTGAGCCACCACACCTGGTTTTTATATCATTGTTTATATATCATTTATATCATTTACTATAATATAAGTTTATATCCTTACTTTTCTCTACTAGATCCTTAACTTGGCAAATATTTCTTATTGAGCCAGACACTGTGCTAGGAAATCAGTATGCAACAGCAGAAAACATAGAATGGTCTGAACTTAAGTTGCTTATTGTCTATCCAGAAAGAAAACTGAAAAGCCATACCTATAGACAGTGATAAGCACATGATAGCTTTGTATGTCCTCATGAATAGAGAGCACCTGTTCATGGAAGGTGATGACCATGCTAATTCCTATCATCATCCCTTCCAGTAGATAACATCGTCCTGTCACCTTCTAGAGCATAATAAGTTTAATAAGTTCAACCTTCTGGAACCCAGCCAGGAAAAGGAGAGTCCAGTCTGGAATTCAGAGAAAGAAATCTCAAGGAGAAAACCTTAGTCAAGGTAGAGGCCACTACCAAAGAACCAATTGCTCAAATCAAAGAAGTGATCAACTGGGTAGCCATTTTGGAAATATTGAACAGAAAGGACATAGAAGTGATGAAGTAAAGGTCAAACCACCACCAAAAAAAAAAAAAATGGAGATAATGGTAAGTAGAGGGTATTTTTCAGATTACTAACTCAATACTAACTCAAAACAGTCAAGCACTAAATTTCTTTAATAGCGTTTTTCTGACACAATATGCGTGTGTGTGTGTGTGTGTGTCTGTATATGTATTCTATAGAGAGTAATAGGCATATAGTAAGTAGTCAATAAATATTAACTATCATTGTCATTAATAGTAATATTGCCTCTGGACTACAAATATGACATCATAGTGAAGAACCCAGCCAAGCATTTGGAGGCTTTTTACATTATATTATGAAAGCTACAACATAAACTATGAAAAAACAAGCAAATTATTTGACTCACATTATAATTGAATCAAGGCTAAAATGAGATGTCTCCTAGTGGGGGGCTACAAAATCATTTTTATTTCCCTGATTGCCTTTGAAAATGATCCTGTAAATGTATGATAGAAACAATTAGGACAAAGAGGGAATGACCAAATGAGTTCTATTTCATAAAAACAATGAATGTTTATTGTTTTTAAATTTCCAGGAATGTTATAGATTGCATAACTGTTGTTTTGCTCTCATTGAATTCTATTAAGTTTGGAAGATTTTTGGTTGGTTATGCTGAATGCTTCTCTTCATTATCCTTAGAGGGCAAATAATAAGTTGATTTTCAAACCACAAATGCTTTCTTTTTAATCAAGCTTTTGCAACAGTAGAGCTCAAGTTCAAGAGTTGTTATTACTTTAAAAATCTGTTTTAACAACACGCATCACTATGGTTTCTAAACACTCTGTTGCCTCCAAGTCGTGTTAACATGCGCACCCAGAGACTTGGGTTTTGGGCCAAGTCTTATAAATTTAAACAAAGAAGAAAGCAAAGTTCAATGACTGTAGCTTGAAAAACAAATATTATGAGTGCCCTGGTTTTAAACACTTTTGGTTATTTTAAAGATCATACAGAAAAATGTGAAGATATTTGACACATAATTGTTCTGAAATTACTAGTTCTGAAGAGTACGAAGAATATCTTTATTGGACATTGGCATGTATACTGATTTTTAAAAATTATTTTATAAGAATAAGACCCTCACAATTTAAGAAGACATCATATGAATAATCCTTTGTCACTATTGAATTTGGTTGCTTGGGAGATTTTAGGGTAATAGAACTCAATTAATGATTAGCCTAGGATCTACTACCCAAGTTAATGGTATATTGCATTGCTTTCTCCAAAAATTCAAAATATACTACACCATATTTGACAACTCTATATGATTTTTGACTAACACTGAGAACTTGATGATTCTAAATTCTGAGATTTCAGGTCTCCCTGTGGCATCATCTAGGGTTTCCATTTTATCTGATTCCTAAGTCTTCTCCATAACACCTTGAGAGGCAATCATCCTGCCTCTGTTTCAACAGCCCCCAAAGTGAGGTGATTTCTACTGCTAAAGATAGCTATATCTGAAAACTGTTTCCTAAACTAGGCCCAGAACCTCCAGAGCTTACCTATGGAAAAAAATGTCCAAACAGGATCAGTGATTACAACTAGGTTCTCCTTAAGTTCTACCTTTCCCTCTTGGATCTCACCTTTGGACTTCTGCAGCCACCATCATATCAGCTGTTGGAGATCATACTGCTCTCTCCGGAGAAATACAGTTGGATCTATTTAGATCCATGCAACTCAGGAATGGATGACAACCCTTCCCTACAATCTCTCTAGGATAGCTGAGCAGTATGAGGATTTCAAAATACTCCCTAGTGTGCAAGATAAACGCATAGTGTTAAAGGTTGTAGTACATCTTTTTACAGCCAGTGCTCTTCCTGCTCCTTTTATACCAAGCCCAATAAGATGATGCTGTCACGTCTTCCTTCTGCTTCCATAGTAATAGATTCTCAGGAGCAACTGGACTGATTCCAGTGCCTACAGAATAAAAAGGAGGCCTGTGGGCAATGAGGCCTTCAGTACAAAAATACTACTGCTACAAAGCCAAAATTGGTCATCATATTGAGAGAAGGGGAGAAAAAGGAGAACATTTAATGGAGGACTCAATGGCAACAATAAAATTATGACAATGCCTGTAAAAGTGTGTCATGATCATACTTGGTCTGGGAAACACGTGTGTCATTTAGAATTACTTAAGTCACTTTAGCAACCATGTCCCATATTCTGGTTTTTAATTACCATAAACATTTCTTGTGTTTTTCTCATCAATGTCTCCAGCTTTTCACTGTGTTTCCAGCTTTTTCCCAGGAAATGTCTGGCCTGGAACCTGGGAAACACATCTGACGTTATTCCTACACTGTTTTTTTCTCAGCTATTTAGTTCCCATACCTGTCCAGTTCAGTTGACTGCTCCTTCCTTTCCCAAGTACTTGAGTTCCTTTGTAATAGTTTCTGGAAGTTCACAGTATTCAGAAGCCTGCCTGGTCTACTTTAGAATCATGGTTTGTCCTGAGGTCAGAAACACAATATCATGGACAATCAAAGTGGCTATCAATGAGCTCTCTACAGGAACATTGAAAACTATTAAATAGACCACTGGAACATCCGGAGTCCAAGGCTCAGCCTATTTGGCATTCAGATAAAATAGCCAGGTAAAGGGAAAATAGTAGATTCAACATTTAGAAGGCCAAGCTAGGCAGCGGAGCAATATAGATAAAAACAGTGGGACTTAGGGCTTGGAAAATTATAATTTGATAAAGCAAGTTTCAGCTACTACTCCATTTGGTGTCTATGTGTATGGCATACATGTCCATGTAGAAGTTCATAATGTTGTGTTTCTTTTTTAGCTAAACTGATGCCTTTATTTATCTTTCTAAAATTTGCTTTTTCAAATTACAGTGTATCTTGTGGATTTTCAAATGTTAGCACATGTGTATATTTATCTGATTGTTTGAAATTGTGAAACACATGGTGTTCTACTGATGTGAGCACCATAATTTATTCAAATAATTACCAATTGATGGATTTTCTCTTATTATTAATGACTTGGCACACATCTTTCTATTTACCTTCTATTACCTTCTACTTCTGATTACTTCTCTATGTTAGATACCTAGATTGGTGCTTTGAAGATTATCCATATGTAAGTTTTTATTAGATGCTGCCAAATTGTCATCCAAAAAGGCTGCACCAATTTGTACATCCAGCAGCAAAGCATGTATGGAACATTTCACTCTGTAACTTCATGGCTATCAATCTTTCAAAATTTTGCCAATTTTTAGGTGAAAAATATTGTCTTGCCTTATTTACATTTTCCTGATTATCATTAAGGTTGAGCATTGTTTTATATGTTTATGAAGCATTTACATTTCTTCTTCTGAGTCATGATACTTTTTATTAAACATTCTCTATTAGCATTGTTTTTCTCCTGAGAAGACAATAAAAGAACTGGGCTTTGAGGGGAAGAATGATATTTCAATGGGGAAATGAGTTCAGAGAAATGAAGAAGAAACTGTAGAAAAAAACATCTTTCATTGTTACTGAATTCTGTACCCAGAACCACGTCAACCAAGGAGGGTCAATGTCATCAATGATTGAATAGATTTAATGCACTAATATACAATAATTAGAATGCTATGTGACTTTCACTTAATAGTATTTGGTAACCTTTTACAAATCACTTAATTTCTCCATAGTTCAGTTATCTCATCTGTAAAATGAAGACAATATTACCTACCTGATAACGGTAATTTTAAATATTAAATGAGTTTGATATGTATAAAGTGCTTGAAATAGTACTTGGCACATAGTAAATCTATAGAAGTATTCATTACTATGTTATAATTTCAGAATGAAAAATGTATAAATGTGTAAATCACTGCACATACAGATTTTATGTTTTTTAAAAAGGCGATTTAAAAAGAGCAATGGCAGTCAACAAGCATATGAAAAAATGCTCAACGTCACTAATTATTACAGAAATGCAAATCAAAACTACAGTGAGATACCCATCTCACACAAGTCAGAATGGCTGTTTTTTAAAATCAAAAAATTACAGATGCTGGTGAGGTTGCAGAGAAAAGGGAATGCTTATACACTGCTAGAGGGAATGTAAATTAGTTCAACCATTATGACAAGAAGTTTGACAATTTCTCAAAGAACTTAAAACAGAACTACCAGTTGACCTAGCAATCTTATCTTTGGGTACATAACCAAAGGAATACAAATCGTTCTGCCACAAAGGCACATGCATGCCTGTGTTCATCGCAGCACTATTCACAATAGAAAAGGTATGGAATCAACCTAAAGGCCCATCAACAATATACTGGATAAAGAAAATATGGTACATATATATCACGGAATACTATGCAGCTATAAAAAAATACACGAAATCACGTCCTTTGCAGCAAGATAGATGGAGCCGCAGGTCATTATCCTAAGCAAACTAACATAGGAACATAAAAACAAATACCACATGTTCTCACTTATAAGTGCGAACTAAATATTGAGTACACATAGACACAAAGAAGGGAACAACAGACATCAGGGCCTACTTGACGGTGGAGGGGGAAGATCAAAAACCTCCTTATCAGGTGCTATGCTTATTCCCTAGGTGACAGAATAATGTGTACAACAAATCCCCATGACACATAATTTACACAAACCTGCACATGTACGCCAAACTTAAACGTTTAAGAAAATACAAAAAAAAGTTAATAAAGTATTAGCAATGAACATACAAATAAAACAAAGCAGAACCATCAAGCCATTTTAGACTCACAGCATCCCTCCTCCTTTTCATAGGCTGGTTTGCCTTCATACAAAGTAACACCCTGGCATCCACCTTAAAATAAATAAATAAAATGTAAAAATAAAAAACAGCAGTGCATGAATGTTAAAAATGTGTTCTTTTAGCAATTTTGAAATACACAATTCATTATTATTAACAATGATCACCGTGCTGTGCAATAACTTATTCCTGCAGTCTAAATGAAACTGTAGACGCTTTGATCTGCATCTCTCCCCATCCCTCCCTCTTTCCCACAGCCGCTGGGAACCACCTTTCTATGCTCTGTTTCTATGAGATTGACTTTTCCTGCCATAAAAAAACTAAGTTGGTGAGGTGAGGGATATGTTAATTAGCTTGACTGACTCTTTCTATAATGATGCATCTTTCTACGTAGATCAAAACATCACATTATGCTTCAATAAATATACACAACTATTGTCAATTAAAAATAAATATTTTTAAAAGAAAACAATTTTAAAAAGAAAGAACAAAGTAATGCAAGAATAATATAATAATAATATGTATATTATGTATACATATATGAAATTATCATTATGCTAGTGGTGAATGGGGTAGGGAGGAATGATTATGAAATCCCCTGAGAGAGGAACAGATATCTAAGAAGTCTGCCTGATGCTGCTGTATTTGTCTTCCTGGGCTGCAGGTAGGTAAGTCAGTGGGAGGGCAGGAACAGCAATTAGCACTGGATATCCCAGGGAGAGCCAAAAACACGTCCAAGCCATCAAAGCCAATATCCTTGAGGGTGACGTGAAAGCTAGGAGCTCCTCAGACACTATGTAAAGAGTAGGAGAGAATCAGTCTGGTGCCAGAAATTGGACAGGAGTTGAGTCAGAATGAGAACAGACAGTGATAGGAGAAGAGGAGGCAGTACAATTACATCAAATTTGTTGGAACTATGTGCTTCACTTTTCTGGGTCAGTGACTGTTAGGGAGGCTTAAATGCAAAGGATAGAAGGGTTCACCTAAACCAGATGGAGAATGAATGATCATGACATAGACGGACTAAATTAGAACCACTACTACCTTGAATTTGTACATGGTTCCTTTGTGCGAAAGGTGTGATATGCAGCAGGCACTCTGAATTCAGGGCTCTAATGACTCTGAATATGACCCTAAATATCTTTTTATCACACTAGAGTCTAGGGTTCAAAGACATGGACCAATTTTATCAGGTATCTAACCAATGGAAATCCTACATTACCTTATTTCTTCTGCTCAAAGGAAATACTCTACCCCCAGTTGAAAAATGTAAATACTAAAATTATTTTAAAGCTGCAAATAATAAGAGGCTTCTATAACTAGAAAAAATGGATACTAATGAGCGAGCAAGAGATTGTAGTTTCCTTAGGCCATGAAATGAAATAATTGTGAATTATCCCTAAAGTAAGACAAACACAGTGAAAAGTGTGCTTTTATGCCCTTCTCCTGTCACTTCTAGTCTATGCTTTGTATGCGCAGAAAGTTATCTTTTTTATTTTCTTTTTAAAATTCTGTCTTCATATTTCAGATTGACATATCCCCTGAATTATTTCTAGAGACTCATTCTGGTATTGTGACCTTTCACATTTTGACATATTTGTGTGTGATTGCAACCTTCCAGGGGGTTTCCATGAGTTTAATTTTAGTTGAGGAATTAAGTTTGAGTATCAGGTTTATGCAATTGTAAAATTATATCAACAGTAAAAGTTTTAACAGGAACTTGCCTATATTTTGTCAGGGGAAGGAAAGGAGGGACAGACAGGAAGCAGGTTGTAGGAAATTTGGGGTCAAAAGATCCATGATTCAGACAAGTATCAACACTTACCAGCTAGACAAATCACTGAGTCTCTTTTCTTACAAAATGAAGAACTGTGAAAGGGATTAAAATGCTCAAGTGTGTGAAATTTTCCCATAATAAAAGCTAACACCTCGGAGTGCACACTGTGTGCCAGGAACTCAGCTAAGTGCATTACATGGATCATTTCATTTAATCCTCACAACAACCCTGTGAAGTAGGAATTATTAGTTGTATCATTTTACAGATGAACAGCTTAGAGAAGTTAAATAACTTGCCCGAAGTTACAAAGCTTGTAAGCATAGTAAGTGGGGTTTCAAGCTCAGCACTAACTCCAAAACTAAACTTAATCACTGTTTTATATACTAGTTCCTTCAATGTTTTACTGGCTCCTAATACACATGTCAGCACAAAGTAAGTTTTAGCTGCTGTGCCAACTCTGACTCTCTAGAGTTCTATGTTTGGCAAGGACTTTTCTTAATAGACTACTATTGCTCAATAAAATTCTGTGCTAAGGGCTTTGCATATGTTTTCATTTAATCTTCAACAACTCTGTATTGTAAGATTATCCCCATTTTACAGAGGAGGAAAATGAAGCATAGAAAAGTTAATTGAATTCTCCCAATCACACAGCCAGTTATGAGAGTACTGTGATTTCAGCCCAAGTTTACCTGGCTCTGGGGTCCATTCAGATAAGGAAAATACTCTATGGAGTTACATCTTATTTGGAGGTTAAGTTCTAAAGTGAGCACATAAAGCAAAAATTGGATATAATCAAAACTAAAACTAAAAATCCCTTTAATCATGGATGAAGTACCATGCATGGTTGTATTCTATGCTACATTGGAGACCAATAAGATCAACACCAGAAATCTTCCTCCAGGATTTGAAAAGATTGCTATTTCTTCAATTCACCACAGATAAAATAGTTCATGTTGAAAGGCCATGTTTTGGAAAAGTAAGTATCTTTAACATAAGAATTATACCCAGCTCAATAAACTGTACATATCATAAGAAGTAAATGGAAACTGAAATCAACTGACTGAACAGCAAAGTAATATCTCCCATTTCATGCTCTCTTCAGGGCATATAGCCATTGAGTGAGATGGCTTGCTTGTATTACTAAATTTTTACATTTTAATGTTTCTACTATATTCTATGAGGCCACATTAAGAGTCAGGGGAAGTAGGATCACCATTAATGATTCATGTAGATTATGAGTGCTGGAGTGGCAGTTTTGGCCATAACTTTAGTAGGTACTTAAGTATTACCTAAATTTGAAACTCACTTTTCCTTTTATATTCACATAGTTTATGTTTCTCTTTTATAAAATTTAACACACTTTTCTTATTTGATCATAAGTTTACAAGTGCAGGAACAACGACTGCCCTGATGATCACTTTATTTTGAAGTCCAAGAAAATAGATGGAACACAATAGCCCAACTCAAAAGTTTTCATTGGATAATGAATGAATAGAATGAAAAGAATGTTCTCTTTTAAAGTTAGAATCATGCTGCAATGTCAGAAGAACCCATAATATTTTATGGAGCTAATCTTCACTCAGTTTGATTAACTCATTGAGAAGTCATGGAGAACACAATCTATTTGATTTCCTGGACCTCTACATATCAAATACACATAGAACTTTATTACAGATAATGTTCAAAAAAGGCAAGAGAGTGAACTCAATAGTCAATTTGCCTGAGTCAATGTGTTTCAGCATTTGACTGACCTCTACAAGCCTCAGTTTCCTCATCTGTAAAGTGGATGAGACAATAATTATAACTAGTATTTAAGTATAAATTATATGATAGTTTGTGTGTTATTCCATCATAAATGCTTTTTACTATTAAGCTCATTTAACATTTCCAGATACTCTGTAGATAGTGTCTCTAAGTTTAAGGATCTTGTTCAGGGTTGCACACCTAAGAATCAGGAAGCTATGCTGCTATTTTTTACCCAGGCACTTTGACTCCAAATCCTGAGTTTATAACCAGTTCTTTCTATTGCCTCACACGGTGATCATGCTTAAAGTGGCTAGCTTCATAGAGCATTAGGCACAGTGCTCCATGCATAAATATGTCTCAATTAAATGCATAAACAGGTCAAGGTGTTAGCTCTGATCATTAATAAATAGCAATAATAATATAATAATTGTGTGCTCTGTATTCTACAAGACATGGTAACCACAGGGAATGCTGTGGTCAGGCCATCCTAGTCCTCCTTCAAAACAGAGACCTCATGATCCCAGTGTGCTAGTCTCCAAAGAAACAGAACTAATAGGATATACAGAAATGGAACCAACTTACCATGGTTCAACTTCATGATTTTTCAACTTTATGGTGTGAAAGTGATATGCATTCAGTAGAAACCATACTTGGAGTACCTATACAACAATTCTGTTTTTTACTTTTAGTATAATATTCAATAAATTGAATTAGATATTTAACATTTTAGTATAAAACAGGCTTTGTGTTAGATGATTTTGCCAAACTATAAGCTAATGTAGGTGTTCTGAGGATGTTTAAGATAGGCTAGGCTAAGCTATGATGTTTGGTACCTTGGGTGTATAAAATGCATTTTCAACTTACAATATTTTCAACTTATGATGAGTTTATGAGGAGGACATAACCCCACTGTAAGTTTAGGAGCATCTATATTTATTATGAGGAATTGATTCACATGACTACGGAGTCTGAGCAGTCTCAAAATTTGCTGTCTGCAAACTGGATACCCAGGAAAGTAAGTGATGTAGTTCAGCCCAAGTTCAAAGTCCTAAGTATCAGAAGAACAAAGATCTCATGTCTGAGGGCAGGAGAAGCTCAAGTAGTCAAACAGGGAGCAAATTTTCCCTTCCTCTGCCTTTTTGTTCTATTCATGTCCTCAACACATTGGATGATGCCCACCCATACAGGGGAGGGCAATCTGCCTTACCCAGTCTACAGATTTGATGCTATTATAATTCAGAAACACTCTCACAGACACACCGGGAAGTAATGCTTAGCCAAATATCTGGGCAACCAATGATCCAGTCAAGTTGACACATATAATTCACCACTACACCAGCTATCAGGAATGTTAATGGCTGATAACTCATGACCAAGTCACACTCTGAGAAATGGCCTCTGATAAAGGGATCAAAGTTGCCCAAGGCTCACACCCTCTCTCACAAGACAGCCCTTTTCCCGTGTCTGCTTGATAGGAATGGTTGTGGGGAAGAGCAAAGGGCCTATCCACTTGCCTCAATTTGGGCCAACTCTTAATGGCCTGTCCTTTTGCAGAGCTCCCTGTGGGATCTGCTGAGGCTTCTGTTGCACCTGCATCAGCTTCTCCCTCTGCCTAATCCTGCTTCCCTCAACCCCAACAGGTGCTGCTTCTGAGCACACTTCCCAGTAAACTTCCCTCAGGCAAATCTCCATATCAGAGTTTATTTTTGGAGAACCAGACCTAAAACTGTAACAGAATAACATACAGTGTCTCACAGCTTCCTGAAGCCATAAGGAACTCCATAAATGCATGGTTTCTCACAGAGAACTGTATTCCAGATCTCTTACAGACTAAGGAGAGTGGGACTCTTCTGTGATAGACCAACTCTTTTACTGACCTCATCTTTTATACCTAGCCTGTTACATTTCTACCCAAACACCTTTCCTAACACACATGTCTCTCTACCCTCATATTCCAATATTGACGTGGTCATAAATTTTTCATTGAAAAGCTGATAACAAAAGTATACAAAATTACTTTGAAAGTATAATGATATAGTTTGGATGTTTGTCCCCTCCAAATCTCATGTTGAAATGTGATCCCCAGTGTTGGAGATGGGGCTTAGTGGGAGGTGTTTCGGTCATGGGGATGGATCCTTTGTGAATGGTTTGGTGCCGTTCCACTTGCTGATCAGTGCATTTTCATTCTGTTAGTTCATCTGAGAACTAGTTGTTTAAAAAGCCAGGCACCTCCTCCCTCTCTCTTGCTCCCTCTCTTACCATGTGATACACCGGTTCCCCCTTTGCCTTCCACCATGATTGTAAGCTTGCTGAGGCCTCACCAGCAGCCAAGCAGGTGAGGTGCCCTGCTTATACAGCCTGAAGAATTATAAGCCAAATAAACCTCTTTTCTTTATAAATTACCTAGCTTCAAATATTCCTTTATAACAACACAAAGTGGACTAACACATATAGTATCAATTCATCTACTATAATAAAAATAAATAAATAAACGAAAGCATGCAAAAATTAGTTTCCAAGGTAGTGTAAAATTTTATGCAATTTAATATGTCTTTACATTTGTTTATTAAGTTTGGTGCCTAAATTGGAGCATCATCTTCAAAGTAATCTTGATTTGATGTATGCACAAATATTAGCTCTCATAACTTAAAAACTCAACTTTGTGTTATTAACACAGTTAGTAAATCATGTAATTTTCCTAAATTGTACTGTAAAAACAGAATCTCCATCTCAGATTAGTCCTTGATGGAGCCCAATTTAGGCGGTAATTTTATATAATCTGGGTTGGCCAAGTTGAGCTTCTGTGACCTGTGTTTAGCAGATCATAGAACAGTTGTAACCTGCTACAATTGCTGCAGGTTATACAAAGAGTTAAATATAGGCTAGTGGAATTAACACAAAGAAAAAAGAAAAAAAATCATCATTCTTCAATGCCTGAGTATAAAAACACAATGATCTACTCTTAATTACGGCTGAAGATTTATGTGGGTCAACACATGCTCTGGCAAGTGATATAGTTTCACCTGAAAATTGATCAAGTCTGATTGGAATATTAATTTTTGACTGATCTTGTATCGATGTTATTCAGAAAATAAAAAACCTGTGTATTTTTATCTGTATCCAAACACTTCCTCATATGGTAATAAAATAATTTTACACTAATTGGCTAACTGAACATGTGATGTGCTGAAGCGATACTAACAAATAACAAACCAAGAGAAAGAAAAGAGCAAACACAAGCTGTCATCTCAAGATGCACTTTCACAGAAAACGCAGCAGACATTTGTCCATGAAGAAATGCCCATGGTCTTCCACTTGCGGTATCCCTCAGCCTATTTTTGGTGCTGTTATAAATTTAAGTTGGGAGACACAAGGGACATTTTGCAGAGAGTTCTCACATCTAAAGATTTCTTCTCTAAGCACCCCGCGGAAGCTCTCTGAAGGAATAGTTTAAGTCTACCTAAAATAAATAAGTGAAGCCTTTCTGCATTTCTTTATCAGAGGAAGGGAATGTCACAACCATTTACATATTACTCAGGATTTCTTAGAATGAACTTTTTCCACAAGGCAATTCATCTGACAAGGCTCACCGAATCAGGAATTGGATGATTCAAAGGGCAAGATTCTACAACAGCAACTAACAGTCTCAACACAGTCCAGTAAACCCAGCTGTGATGACTGCCCATTTCTACACAGAACCAACCATAACTAGCAGTTTTATTTTCACTGGCAGCTACTTTTATGATTCAGATGTCCCCAGTTTCTCAGTCAGGTTTTCCAGGGCTGCTAAACAATCTTCCTATATTGTCTGCAACCTGACTGGGTAGCAGGGGAGGTGGGACGTAAGTAACTTAAAAACCACCATGAACTTTTGCTATCCTTTTCAGCTAAGCATGTACAGGTCATTTTTCTTGGGATTGTTTGCCAAGTTTATAAGTTTTTAAGCTTACTATATTTTGAACTCTGGCCCAAATTCAAATAATAATGAAATAAATTGCTGTACATTTTTTCAGTTGATAATCTTAGAAAAGCTTACAAAGGCACAAATTAGATGTTATTTTTAGACAGTAAATAACTCTTATCTACCAGCACTTAGATAAATAAAAAGTACTTAGAAACAAGTGGTTTAAATGAACCTTAGGATATTTACAAGTGTATAAATTATGGGAAAAATAAAAGAGATTAAAATACTTTTAGTTAAAATGATTTGATTTGCTGTGATGTACATTATCATTATTGAACATTTCTATCTTAATTTCAGTGAGCCTGTTTTTAACATGCTTATTTATCACAAGATATAAAAAATGTAATTATACTCCAAGCTCTGCAAAATCTTTAGAAAATACGATGCCAATGAGAATGCAAAAGCTAAGAGTCAGATTGAAAATGTAACTAGGTGACCTCCAAAATCCTTTCAATCCTAGCAGTTTAACATCTAAAAGTTCTTTGTTTGCATTCTGATTATTTTCCTCCCCAGATTTAATAAATTTAGATAAATGCATAATGTGTTATTTGCACACTTCTTAATGCTAAGAGAATACACAGCATGGAATTGATATAATGATTGACTGAATTTCTGTTTACTCCTTTCCATAAAGGACTTGAGGCAGCTGGCAGTTAGAAAAAGGGGGAGGGATTGGGGAAGCATGAAATGCAGTAGCAGAATATACAAGAATATAAAACACAAAATCGAGAAATTAATACCAAAGAGAAAAAAGAAAAAAAATAGTGTCAATATATTTGGTTTACCTGAATTTCTAAGTTGGCCCTGAGCTTCCTGGTAAAGATAGTGAAACAGGTAATCAGAACCAATTATATTGCTCATTTTTTTTTCAGAAAGGAGGGAGTATTATAGTTCTTAAAAGGAAGCCGAGGTTTTTAAATAAATTATTTCTAAGAGAATTGCTCACAGAAAATTTTGTATTAGCACACTAAGTTAGATAATAGAGAAAATCTTCAACCTCATTTCCAGCAAATGCTTTAACATATTTTGTCATAAGACATATGTAACCTTAACTATAATTTATGATGTGCAATTCTTCAAGAGAATGAACTAATGCAATCCAAATGTGCAGACTTGTAGTGATTCAATCTAATTGAAAGGGAAAGTAAACTGATCTTTACCCTCTATCACACTCTATTGAAATGCAGCAATGATCTCAAAGACTTTTGAGTTGTATAATACAATTTGCCTATACACTGAAGCGCTATACTTTTCAGAGTTCTCTTTTGGGGAAGGAGATTTTATGGTATCAAGTTTCTATTTTCAGTTAGTGATAATAATAGCTAATATTAATTAAGTGCACGCTCAGTGCCATTTGACAATTCAGGAGTTCAGAAGTTTGATCCATTCAAAAATGTGAGCCTTCTCTCTTACCCATATGCTAGGGGTAGGGCCTAATGTTGATATATGACCCATTCCTTTCCCTCTGCACATCACATGAGTGAACTTTCTTGTTCTAAATTTGCCAAAAGTACCAGTAACATTCCCTAGCACTTGTCACCTTAACACAAAGAAGTATATATGTATTAGAACATTTCAACCTGTTTGGGTCCCAGCTGTGGCTTAGTTGTCTATTTGGCCATAGTCTTATGTTCATCAGTGTATCACAAAAGAGAAGACAAGGATGAGAGATTGTCAACATCTGTAGGCCCTGACCCCAGTAGCTTTTACCAGGTGCTTGTTTGTTTGTTGGTGTGGGTTCTTGTTTTGTTGTTGTTCTTATTGTTTTGTTTTTGTTATGAATCAGTTTTATATTCTTGCAGATTGCGATGACGGGTGGGAAAAAAGACCAGAACTGGAAACCCTAGTGGTGCATGTACCTATTCATTCATCATTCCAAGTATGTGGTATATCTATTTTTCTAATTGCCAGAAAGTAAGTAAAATATGGCATATTCAGTTATCACATAGTCTTCTGCAAGCAAGAAGGTCTGAATTTGCCATTAATTATTGCACATCTGTTTAGTATCATACACCAGTTTGGAGAGGTACCAAAGAGTTAAAGCTTTACTTATCATCTAAGGAACAGTGGATCCCATTATCTCTTTAGGCATACAATCAGACCTGCTTTCTTGGAATTAAAGTTTAGCTTATTAAAACAAAGACATATCAGAAATGCAGTACAATGCATTAAGATAGTAAATGCCAAGGATGTGTGGTGCGTGTGACCGTGTGCACTTGTGTGTGCTGAAAAAAATTAACAGCACCAAATTATTTCCCTAAGCAGACCTTTTGTGGGTTCTGGATAACCTAGAAAATACCAATTAACCTGGCCAAAAGAACCTTGGAAAACATTAAGTACCCCATGAAGCCAAAAGACAGCATGAGAAGGAATAATGCGATGCCTCGAGCTCACTTCAAAGGAGTGCCATTTGACCCAGGTTAATATAGATCACAGAAGTCTTTTCTCATGACAGAAGCTTTTGATGTCCATTTTTGCAAGCCTTGTCTTCTTTGTAAAATCCATGATATAAAGCAGCACCAAGTAAAATTCCAGATGTTTCCACTTATTGAGCTTTTCTGGCATGAAAACTGGCACTTTTATGTGAAAAATCTCAGTTTTGCCAACTTTTTTATGCCATGATTGGAATGAGAACCATGTAAACTAAAAGAACTGTGAAGACACAGAGTGGCAAGGATATTCTAAAAGAAAGAAATCAATTTCTATACAAATGTCCATTACGGTTATTTTTTCTTAAAACAATTTCAAATCCCAAAGTGAACATATAATAAACCGTTTATTCAATTTGCAAGCTAGAAGATACAGTGAAAGTAAAGAGATTAATTCAAACTTAGAACACCTGTATTTAAGTTGTATGATCTGGGGCAAAGATACTTAACCACATGTATTCTTCTGGAGATGAGCACAATAAAAACAACTCAAAGTTTTTGTACGAATGAAAGGAAATATTTCATGTGAATGCATTTTATATAGTATAAGATAATGTATAGATCTTATTATTATATTTCTGAGGTTTGCTCCCTCCCTTTTGATTATATTGTTTCATCTCCTATGGCATAGGAATCATGTTTGTTAGAATGCTCTGAGTGAAAGTTGGATGTGTTCTTCTACAAATAAAATGTGTGAACTTCAGAGCATCGACACTCCAATGTATTTTTTGGCTCATTTGACATATATTTGTTTATTTTCTAGTTCCTAAATATGTTTTAAATATGAGAAGTAGCTGGGTAACTATTTGCTAGATTAGCTACACTTTAATTTGCATGTCACTGTTTCATTTTAAATTGTGTAAATGTGGTACTACTAATTTTTAAAAATGATAACCATTATTTTTATATTAATATTTTTCTGACCTCCATGTGTAAATGAAGAGTTGACATACAGAATTATAATCAAAGTATATGCAATTCATACTTAATTTTTTTCCAAGGTGATTTACAAAAAAACTAAAATTTTTATACTTATCATTTAAACTGACTGGGTGAAATTACACAGAACTAATATGCCATAAATAATTATTCCCCTATCATTAAATATTTATATTGTTTTCCAGTTTTTTACAATATTTGAATTGTGCTGTTATAAATATCTTTCTATATACACATTTTAGTTTTGCTTTTTTTTTCTTTTTTTGTATTAATTATCATGAATAGGGTAATTTTATCAAAAAGGATCAATAGTTGTGGGGCCATTCACATGGGTTGATAGCTTGATTTTGTTATCAGCATGGGAGTATTCCTATTTTTTCAAAGCACCAACCATGTAACTCTGAACTATATATTTTAATGTTTTTATGTGATTGTATACAGCTCCTTAATCTCACTGAAGCATATTAGGTAGAAAGTGAGTTTTCTCAGTGTTGACATGTAAGCTTCCAAGAAGCAGTCATTAAATGGTAATAACTTTCCCCACTGTTATTATGCCTAATGGGCAAGAACTATACTTTCAAATAACACCTGATATATTTTCCCCTCTCGATAATCAATTTGTTTTTAGTTATGCAACCATTCCACCATTAAAACTAGATGGAGATAAGTTTTATTATTTAAGAGAGAACAAGGAGGATAAAATCATACCACTGACATTTTAGCTTCTGAGTATACTTTTGCAAAATTACAGCAAAAGTGATCACTATTGAAGCCCATGTTTTAAAGAGCCAGGCTTGACACAGAAAAGTTTTGCTGTTGTATTTGTTTTGGAATTCTACAAACCTTAAAAGATCTAGAACCCAACCCCTGGAAAGATTGTAAATTTTTTTCACAGATGGATTGAAAAAAGTTTACATGATGATTTAGGAGTTAGCTGAGGGAAGAAAAGCATTACCAGTTAACAGGAAAGGGAGAATTAGAGGGGGTATGACTATACATTTTCTGCAGTGGGCCTCCAACTGTGCTCAGCTCTCCAACTCATTTTGGGTTTTGTGGTGAATAGACTTCAGGATGGATCCCATAATCCCCACGTCTTGTGTCCATGCCCTTGAGAGAAGGCAGGTCCCGTGACTTGGTTCTAACCAATAGAATATAGCAAGTTAACAGGATGTCACTCCTGTGATTAACATTTTACAGCAAAGGTGGTAAGATATCTCTCCTGTGATTAGGTTATATTATGTATTACATAAGGACTGTGTCTTAATAGAGACTCTCCTTGAGGGATTAATGAAATAAGTGGCCATATTGGAAAAGTCCACATGGAAAGGAACTCCAGGTGGCGTCTAGAAACTACTGCTGGTCTCTAGGACCTGAGGACAGCCAGCAACCAACAGTCAACAAAAATCTAAGGCCCTCATTTTTACAGTACCAAGGAACTTCATCCTGCCAACAACCTGAATGAACTTCAAAGTAGATTCTTCCCCAGTTGAGCCTCCAGGTGAGAATACATCCTAGCCAACAGATTGATTGGTAACCCCCTGAGAAGAGTACCCAAGTAAACTGTACCTGGACTCCTGACCCATGGAAACTATAAGGTAATATATGTGTGTTAATTTAAGCTGCTAAAGTTAAAGTAATTTTTTATTACAATTAATAGAAAACTACTACAGGGTTGAAATTTTCAAGGGGGAAACAGATGGACTACATAAATACTCAATTAGGCTAAGAGAATCCCACATCAGAAAGAACTCTTCTCCAGCAACTTAGAGCACAGCTTTTAAGATTGAAAGCCTTGTAGGGAAACCTCAAGTCCACAAATCCCCTAAGCATTAGAACAGTGGCCCAAGGAAGCACCTAGATTGAGGCCTAAGATCAACTTCCTCAAGTTTCACACTACCCAGTGTGGAATGGATGAGTCTCAGAAAATTCTCATCACTCCCTTAGAGAGATGCAAAAGTGACTGAAAGAGCCAATGGCCCAGAGAAGTCAGGAGTTGGAATAGGGGGGATACAGTACTTAAGGTTTCAACAGAAGGTGCAGGCCCACATCAGGAGTCACCATAGCAAACAAAGAAACCTCAACAAAGTCAACTCCCTTCCTTCCACACAAGGACAATTCATAAACCCACTTCCATACTGCAGAAAAGATGAAGGAAAATGAGAGTGAAAGAACCCTAAAGGAATTTGTTTAATCCAAACAGACTAAATGTCTTTACACTTATATATTTAAGTTTTCCATCATCAGTAGAAATGGACATTTGAAAGGTAAATTAAATTTTAGTTACAGAGAAGTAAAGTGGCATTTTTGCAACCAAAAAGGCCATCCACTTGGGGACTATATAATTTCAAAACCACTATATTTACTATGACAAATAGAAAATATATATTTATTTATGCATACTTTTATTAATGGTACATTTTGTTTCTATTTTATCCTATTATTCTAATTTATGATTTCTGGCCTATGCTGTAATATTCGACTAGCTACCATTTTTTTTCATTGATTCTTTTATGTTTGACATCCATACAAAGAACCCAATTGCAATTAAGAATGTTTCTTCCATTTCAAACCTTATTCCTTTATTCCTGTTGGAATGATAAAATTTTCCAGCACTAGTGAGGCTTCCAAGCAGGGACCTTTTTATTTATTTCTGAGTTCTATACCAAACATCTATCATCTTCCTAACACAGAGCTGATTTAGTCTCCACAAGTGATGTGTCAACAGTTATTAAATTATGCGTGTTCTCAGCCTCCATCCTAACCCAAGATACTAAAGAAGATCCTGGCTTGAAGTCCTCAGTCTCCTGTCAACTGAATTCAATCCATTCTCCTGAGGTTTGTTATGCAGAATCAGGAAGAAAGCTAGAGACAGAGAAAGACTGGGAGGCCACAGGCTACGGCTAGGGAAATCTTTAAACAGGGAAAGGTTTGAAGATTATAAGTAAAGTTTAGAATGAAAAAAAAAATGTAAAAGCAGTTGTAATGAGTAAAGAAAATGCATGAGAGAAAGAGGAAAAATATTTTTAAATTACTGTGATACATGTATTTTTCTTTGTGCTATTTGAAAGATACAAATAAAGGATTTTCATTTTAAGATTATCTTGTGACTGGATGTGTTTATTCTAAGCTAAATACCACTTACTCTAGGCACTATATGAATGTATGGAATTATTCTTAATAAATACAACATGCTGAGAATGTTCATTTCTTGATGGTTCAAGATCTCCACTGTGTTGGGTCATACAAAGATCATGAATCTGCACTGTATAAGGTTATAGATATAAATATAAGTGCTTGGACTGCACATGGGCCATCTAGAATATGTCATAGAATGATATGAAGATTTTTTCTTAACCCCCAAGTCTCTGATTTATCTTTGGACTATTTCTCCTGAAAGTGAACAGAATGCATCTAATTAAAGCTTTTCCCCATAGATTTACACATGTAGATCAGTCACTTTGCTGCATAATAGAGAACCACAAAATATTGGGGATGTAAAACAGCATTTATTTCTTGCTTACCAGCCCGTTGTCCACTAAGGTCAGTTTGACTTGGATCTAAGCTGCAGTTGGGTCCAGGTCTATTTACATGTCTCTCAGGGTCCTTGGACTAGCAGCTATCCAAAGAATGTTCTTTGAATGCAAGGGAGGGGCTCAAGAAACAAAGCCCAGCTGTGCAAGTACATTTCAAGTCTTTGTTTGCATCATGTCCACTAAAATCTTATTGGTCAAAGTAATATTCATTGACCAATCTTCAACTCAAAAACAGGGGACATACACCCCACCTAGCATAAGATTATACTATTACAGAGGAATGAAGACGTGAGGCTAATAATTCAACATACACATTTTGCTAAATTACATGTTATTATACATATGGCACATTTTTCATTATCTTGAAGTGAAAACATTGCTCATGCCTTTCCTAATATACTCATAGGATTTCACGTAATCTTATCATTATCATCATAATTTCTGCTCTTGTGAAAAATACGGCTAAAGGTCATATTCGCTAGTTTTATTTCTTAAAACCATATTCTCTGGCTATAAAAACAAACAAGACTTGTTAGCATTAGCATCATCAGTATAAAATGATATCTACAGAGCCTATAGACATTGTTAGCCTCTTGAAAACTGTATGTAAAGGAAAAAATGCTGTAGGCAACTTCCCGTACCCATCCCATACACCTATCTGTGCCCGTACCAACGGTGGATGTTGCTTTATACTTATTTCTGGTCCCCCACTTTTGGAGTGAAGGTGACTTTTGGCATCAGTTTTAAAAAAATCTTTAATAGCAAATTTAAACCCCATGATAGAGAGGCTGATAAACCCAGAAAATCACAGCTTGATTTAGAAAGCAGCAGGGAGCTAGTAGGGAGACTTAAAGAGAAAGATTGAATTGCTGGTACAATAGAAAAAAGAAGATTGCTTTTGCTAAAGACCATTTTTGAAACTCCACAGAAACATGACTGTGTCACCAACCAGAAGAAGAACTTCAGGAAAAAAAACATACCAAGGCAGGAGGAAATTGCAAATATCCCAGTTAGAAAGCATGAATGAAGATTCAAGCAGATATGGCCATTATAAACAAATGGACAGTCAGTGTTTTTATTACCAGAAAAGCTCAGCCACCAACTTAACAGCATTAAATGTCAGAACCAGACTTGGATCTTGCCTGAGAGCAGATCAAAGAAGAAACACCAGAATACACAGTACCCACTTCTCTAGTAGTAGTAGCAGTAGTATTAGCAGCAGCAGGAGCAGCAATAGTAAAGATTGCCTCCCGGTTTTGACTGGGAGGAAATTTAAGTTCTGCATCTGTGGAAACTTGGGGTATCCATTTATTGACTTTGTCTCAGGTACCATCTATTAATAATTGGTTTAAAACTACATAAATAGATTAATATGTCTACCCTCTTCTTACCTGAGAGAGAATAAGAAAGAAATCTGCAAAAATGTATTAAGCTCTTCAAGAGAGGTGTCAGCCCATCTCAGAAGACAGTAATTATTATTACTTACATCCTGCCTCTTCCAAATCTATCTCATTACACCAGTATGTTTTTTAACGGATGAAAATGTTTTCCCATTGAGTTCTTGGTTGAGTTCCATGTGGTCATAAGCTAATCACTACTGCTGTTGTTTCAGTCTTCTTCAGTCTGCTCACCACTGTGTATGCTGCAATGATAGTACTGTTGGGGTTATGGGTTTTTTAACCCAATGATAGCACCCCAAATGAAAAAGGTACAGGGTTTTTTGATGGGATTTCAAATTCAGAAAAAGGTCATTTCTCCTTCAACAACAATAACTAGATGACTAGCTCTCATTTCAGAGTGGCTTAGTTCCCAGAAGATACAGCATACCCATGAGATTTTTTTCCAGCACCTAGAAATGGCAAGTCAGTTTAGCAAAAGCTCACACTTCATGATATAAAGTATGTCCAAGCTCATTTTTGAGTAAACTAGCTTATACCATGCAAACTCTTCAATCCTTTGATACAGATAAAAGTCTGTCAATTAGAGTATGTAAATAAGAGGCTTCAGTCCACCTTACAGAGAGTAAGGGCTCCCCTAGAATTGAACTTTTTCCAGTGAGAACATTCCAGAAGCACTATCACAAATCATGCAGATTTTCACATATTAAAATATTTCTTCATATCCTGAGTATGTGGTTGCTGCACAGAGACCCTAAGGAAAATAATAAATTATGAGATCATATTGTCAATGACATTAAACTGTAGCCAAGGTAGGAGCCATCACAGATGAAATGAACAAATGACATCTGGCTGTATGTTTTGTGGCCCTATAAGAAAATAGAAAATGATGATGATTCATGCCTATTTGTATTATTAAACAATAAGGAAAACATTTTCTGAGATCATCTTAAATATTATAACTGTGAGTTTTCATTTGTATACTCTGATAAGTAATAAATAATCAAATAACTTTGTAATTATGTTTATCCCTGTACACTCATCAGATAATGGTTCTACAGTCAGCCAAGACCGACATAATGGCTCCATTCATGCTGGAAGTAGAGATGAAAAAAGCATGAACTTTGAAGAGAGAATATAAAATCTGGGTTTGCATCCCATTTCTCAGCAAATGAATTGACCTCACCAACCTCAGTTTCATCATCTATAAAATAAGGAGAGCTGTCTATTCATGAAATTAAGAAATCATGTATGCCAAGTACCTGGCACGGATGTCACTCAAGATAAAAGCTCTAGAATAATAAAGACTGCATAATTCTTGAATATCATCTGAAAGTCTTTCTTGAAGTCTCTTTCTAAAGGAATAAAAACTATGTTTCTGTAGACTAAATTTTTTTACAGATGCAAGGCATAAAAGATCCATGAAGGCAAATAAGCTTTTAGAAAATTTCCAAATTCTTTTGGCTGCAGTTATAAAACTAGTTCTGCAAATTAAGCACAAAAAAGTCCTTAAAAATGTCCCAGTCTGTGATGGGCCAAGTTTTATTCCATAGATCATTTGGATAAACACTAAATTGAAATGATTATCACACACAGAAGAAGAGAGTGATTGAGAGAGACTGCCATATTAGCTTCTCCAATCTCTATTTGAGTTCCCTTTAGTATGTGGTTTAGAAAGGAAATCAGGAAATCCAAACACTCAGCTAATAATCCTGGTGGATGTTGAAAAGGCCAAGCACTTGTCACAGCTGATGACTGACTCCCCTGACAATAAGTAGATTAAGGATACCATAATGTGCTTTTTCATAGCTAAAAGGTTAACAACTATTGGCAGTTCCTAATTTACAGATAGGTAATAGCCCTGGCCTGAATTTGGTTTCTTGGGTGTAGGGGATTATGTGATGCAAAAGAAAAGACAGTATCCTTTGTGTTTTCCAGCATAAGGTCAAAGCATAGGCAATATTTTGAATTGGACAAAACAGACTAGATTTTTCCTTCCTCTTTGTCACCCTATTTCCTTAGTTTCTAAGGTCCCTTTTTTCCTGTTTCCAGTTTCTCAGTCTGCCTAGAAATTATTCAGGGAAGTTTCACCTGGATCCTATATACAATGTGCCTGGCATGTAGAAGTTACTTAAGATAAAAGCTCTAGAGTAATGAAGATTTGTTGCACACCTTCTGAAATTCTTCCTTAAGATCTCTTGTGTTCCCAAAATCCTTTATAATGCAAAATAAACTTCTTTCCCTTCTCTTCCCCCCAAAAATCCCAACAGGATATTAATTTTACACCAATCAGGATAAAATAATTTATACTAATCTGTGACTCACTGATAGTCCCAAAATCATGAGAGTTATTTGCATTTTTAAAAGAGAATAATTGCTGCCAAAATTAATGCCTAATTAGTAGAATGTAGAACAGTGTTACAAAGTATTGAGTGAATATAGGCTTATTTTTAATTGAGGGAATGAGAAAAAATTATTAGGCTTTGGACAGATGAGCCCTCAGGGTCTGCTCCCCTAAACTGACCTAATTTTTTTCTAGATTCATTCCCTTCTAAAATTCTGCTACCATAGATTCTCTAAGAGCTCCATATATTTTTTGTTTGTTTGCTTTTATCCAGGAAGATTCACATGACAACAAGGTCCTTGGCAATAGAAACAAAGGAGCCAATGTGGAAGACAGCATAATTTGAGACTCTGGATATGCACTAGCTAGGGGAGAACACATTTTTCATCTGAATATTGATAAAAATCTACATAATTACTATTGCAAAAAAAAAAAAAGGGGGAGACCCAGAATTGGGGACATGCCATTTAATATTATGGCCATTTACAAAAACAAAGATAGATGTGAATGCAACTTGTAATAAGTCAAGGTATAGGAAAAAACACAAGATAGTTTTCCAGACTCACCAGAAGCCTCCCATTCCCGTGGAACTTGAAAAGATTCACAGGAGGCTGCATACTGTTGCATCTATACAGACAACTGTTAAGATCTGTCGCCACAACCACAGTTCAGAGGAGGAATCTTCAGCTGTAAGAGGTTAAATGTCATATCCATAGGCGAAACAATACTGAAAAGAGAATCTAACTCCTAATTCCCACAGCATCCTTTACTGTAGCCTTTCCTTGGCTACCACCATAGCAATATATCTCAGCTTTTAGTCCATCCATTGCTGGTACCAGAAAACACAGATGTGAACAAAAGCACATGTTAAATTGCGAGCATTTGGATTTGTTCTGGTTTGACTCTCCAACATGGGTTCTTAGATCAGTAGTTCTCATTCTGAGTCAGATAATAATTTTTAAAAAGCTTCATCTCTGAGTAAGCCAATTTTGAAATTTGACTGATTTTAGCTACCAACCACACAGCTGGGAAGAACTTAAAATATTGAAGCCACAATGCTACTCACTATCTAATGATTTTGTGCAGATAACTCAACTTTTCTCAAATTCAATGTCCTTTTCTTTAGAATGGGGATGATCACACAAACCTATTGAGGTTGATTTCTATGATTTGACAGTAGTGTTATTTTTCATGTGGCTTATTGCAATAGCCTCATCTCCTTTTCTCATCTTCTGGCGTCCACTCTTAACCACTGTTCATCTATCAGTAACAAAACAACTGTAGCGATCCCGTTAAAGTATTAATTCTATCACTCTTCTGCCCTCCACTCTTAACCACTGTTCATCTATCAGTAACAAAACAACTGTAGCGATCCCGTTAAAGTATTAATTCTATCACTCTTCTGCCCAATGTCCCTGCCTTCATGCCTTCTCATCTCATTCAGAGTAGATGCCAAAGTTCATTTGCTTACATTGTCTGCCACCTCTTCATTGCCTCTCTGACCTGACCTGCCACCACTTTCACCCTGGATCATTTTGCTCCGGCCACTCCAGACCCCTCATTATTCTTTAAACCTTCCAGAAACACTCGGGGCCTTGGCATGTAGTTTCCCCTGCTTGGGAATTCTTGCCTAGAGTATTCACATGAATCACTCCCTTACCTCCCTTTACATCTTTATTCAAAAGCTGTCTTCTCCGAGAGGTCTTCCCTGGCTTTCTCACCTAAAATTACAACCCAACCTCTTCCTAATACTTCCTCTACACTGCTTTCTTTTTCCACTTAGCACAAACTAACATACCCTACATTTATTTACTTATTTGTATATTTTATTGTCTCTTTCACACTAGAATATAAGCTCTATGTTAGCATTTTGTTCACTTATTGACTATGTGATGTTGTGGAAAGGAGAAAACTCAACTTTTCTAGAGTTTATTCATCTGTTTCCAGGATGGTCCTACAACAATGATTGACACATACTAGGAGCTTAATAATTGGTTGTTGAATTTAAGTGAACTTTGAAAATGATGACCCTTGACACATGAAAAAGGTGGACAAGAAGGAGAAAGGGAAAAGGAAAAAGAAGATTTGGGGAAAGGAGAGAGAACAATTTTGTCAGATATGCTCAGACCACCATGATATGGACAAAGAAAACCAAGCAGCAAAAGGAAAACAGGAAGGACACCAGTGAATTATAATGGGAAAGCCCGGAAAGAAACAAAAGGAAGCCCAAGAAGGGAGAGCCATTCTTCATTGTTCACTCAGTATTCACCAGGTTTAAGTAGAGTTTTATCACGACCTGGTGCAGTATTATCCTCAGAAACTTGGGAAGGTCTTCTGTGTAAGAGCAGTTCAGTTATTCCCTCAAGGCAGTCATGAACTTGTGAAAAACCTAATGCATATAGAGTGATTCTAGGATGCTATTAATGATCAGATCAAACTATTCTCCATCATCATGTTTTTCTTGAGAACCTGATCTGAACATAAGTGTAATGCCAAGGACTAAAAGTACAAGGACTAAGCATGGTCATAACCTAGAAAGTTATACATTATATTCTTCAAAACACACACTCGAGTACAGACAAATATACCTCCTTACTACACAATTAGTAGATACCCAATCTTCCTGCAATGCAAGGACCTCAGACTTCTACACTTTTATTATTCAGATCTCAATCAGTGGAATCCTGTGGATCAAGGGGGAATTTCCAGCACACTAGAGGCAGCTTTTCTCCATTCATGGGATGTTCTCTCAGGCTTCAGGAGGGTTTCTTTCCCTCCTCATTCAGCCCACTACTATGATTTTCACTTTTTTTCTCATGGGAGACTTTTCTTCTCTAGCAACCCAGTCTTGCAAAAACGATGCCGAATGTCTGGTAAATTTGTTCTGAGATACCTTTAAAGATCTGGGCTGGGGAAAACAGCATTCACTTTGCAAGCTTCTTGGGATTTTTACTTAACTAGAGTCTCTTCTTCCCAGGATTTAAAACATGATGGAAACTTTAGCTCATGAATCAAAACAACCCTCCAGAGCTAAAAGCCAGCTGTATTTGCATAACAATTTAGCAGATCCAAACAGCAGGGCAAGGTCGGGTGAAATAAGTTGCCAAGGTCATGGTCATGAAGTAGTATTAGACTCAGAAAGGCTGATCCCCAGTGCTTGCTCCACCCCATGGATCTCTCCTACCCTCCTTCTAAACGATACTGTGGGATAAAATAAAATTAATCTACTGTATATGTGCAAACCACAGGCCTGCCCTTAACTCTTTCCTTACCTTCTAGTTTCAGATTATTCAAATCATGGAGGAAAAGATTAGATCACAACACGTTGACTTCACTGTATTACCATACAAATGAAATAACTTAGTACAAACTGTGATCTGGGGACTCTTGATCTAAACTGGGAACTGCTGTTGACTGCATTTTAAACTCTAAAAGTATTTTGAAACTCTTTAATTTCTTGAACTGAAAAAATTGCTTTGAATTCACTTTGTTTTAATTCTGAGAACCTAAAAACAGGGATTCTTTAAAAAAAAAATGCAAAGGCTCACATGCCAGAAAGAAAGAAGCTGAGGAGATAAAAATGTGTAAATAATTCTTACTTTAATACCCTTAGCTAGAAAAACCTTAAAAGCGACACATCCAGAAGCTCGTTAAGTCACAGCCTCTTTGAACCTATTTCAGTGAACCACCGAATTTCAGATCCCTCAGGTGCGACTCTGAATTCAGAATTCTCACCGGCTCATAGTCCTATTTTCCTTCTTAGGTTTTAGGGAATTTTGCAAACTATGACGCCCAGCCTTTGAGGGGAGAGGACTTTCCAGGGGCGCGGGATGTGCCACTCGGGAATCTCACCAACAGTGGGCGTTTAGCGCAGCCAAGCGACAGGCAGGCGCCAGGGCTCAGCAACAGGGAGGCGCCGGCTGAGGCGGGGAGAACTTTGGCGCTCGGAGCAGAGCCACCCTTTGCTGGCCAGTCGCGTTGCTCCTCCGAGGAAGCAAGCGGCGGTGGCGACTCGGTGGAAAAATAACGAAAGAAAGGCAGAGAGGAAGTAGCGAGAGAAGAGAGAAAATGAAGTCGGCGCTGGGGGAGCCTGCAGGAGGGTGGCCAACAGTGGAGGAAGGTGGATTTGGCTTCTTTTCCGCACCCCGGGCGTGAAAGCCCTCTCCAACGCGACCCCAGGAAATAAGTGGGTCTCGCCTGGGCAGAAAAGGAAAAGAATCCAGGCGAGAGCGCGTCGCTCCTCTGTCACTGCTGCCCCCGAGGAACTCCGGCTGCTTCTCATCCCGGCCGCCTCGCGGGGCCGGACGCAGTGCCCGAGGCGCCCTGCAGATGGGGCGGGCAGGGAACGGGCGCTCCAGCTGCGGGTGACAGGCGCCGGCCCGCCCGCCTGCCTGCTCAGCGCAGTGACCGGGCGGGCAGAGGATGCCAGGCGGAGGGACCTGGGAGCGGGATCTGAGACTGCCGGAGGCGCGCTACGCTCCAACTTGCATGGCCTAGAGACCGCTCCAGCTCCTGGGACCGCTTCACCGAGTGGAGTGAAGCTGCGCGCGGGACCTGGAGGCGGAGACCTCAGGCAGCGGCTGCAGAGGGGCGAGCCGGGCGCAGGAGGGGGCGCGCTTTCTCCCTGCGGGTCTCAGTAATGAGGAGACTGAGTTTGTGGTGGCTGCTGAGCAGGGTCTGTCTGCTGTTGCCGCCGCCCTGCGCACTGGTGCTGGCCGGGGTGCCCAGCTCCTCCTCGCACCCGCAGCCCTGCCAGATCCTCAAGCGCATCGGGCACGCGGTGAGGGTGGGCGCGGTGCACTTGCAGCCCTGGACCACCGCCCCCCGCGCGGCCAGCCGCGCTCCGGACGACAGCCGAGCAGGAGCCCAGAGGGATGAGCCGGAGCCAGGGACTAGGCGGTCCCCGGCGCCCTCGCCGGGCGCACGCTGGTTGGGGAGCACCCTGCATGGCCGGGGGCCGCCGGGCTCCCGTAAGCCCGGGGAGGGCGCCAGGGCGGAGGCCCTGTGGCCACGGGACGCCCTCCTATTTGCCGTGGACAACCTGAACCGCGTGGAAGGGCTGCTACCCTACAACCTGTCTTTGGAAGTAGTGATGGCCATCGAGGCAGGCCTGGGCGATCTGCCACTTTTGCCCTTCTCCTCCCCTAGTTCGCCATGGAGCAGTGACCCTTTCTCCTTCCTGCAAAGTGTGTGCCATACCGTGGTGGTGCAAGGGGTGTCGGCGCTGCTCGCCTTCCCCCAGAGCCAGGGCGAAATGATGGAGCTCGACTTGGTCAGCTTAGTCCTGCACATTCCAGTGATCAGCATCGTGCGCCACGAGTTTCCACGGGAGAGTCAGGTGAGAGGAGCCTGGTGCGTGGAGTGGAGATGGGCGCTGCTGGGGGCCGGGGCCATTGCATGAGGGGAGAGAAAACGGCTTGGTAAAGTCTGAGGGGAGTTGTTACTTTATAACTTTGATATTGCTTAACGATTGGGCCATGTTCGTAGGTGGTAGGTAGAAGGAGCTTAGTAGAAGTAGAATAAAATATTTAAAGCGCGGATGGAAATAAAACGCGCAGTGAGGTCGCGGCTGGAAGGAAAGAAGTGGGGAGAATATGAGAGAAAATCATATTTTGACCGGCTGGGAGAAATCTAGTAGATGCCCGACGGGAAGTAGAAGTCGAGGTTCAGGACCGTGGAGAGCGGTGAAGGTTCTGAAGAACTACAAGAGCAGGGTATGGGGGTGGGGTATCCCTGACTCCTGGCTAGGTGTCACACTCCCAAGAGCAACTCTGACAGCATGTGTCGGAAAAGCAGCATCTGCTCTCTCTGACTTCTTCAGAAGGTGTGCCTGAGCCTTAGGCAAAGGTGTAAGGAAGAAAGCACATCGCTCTGAATTCCTCTGGGTAAATAGAAAATCTGCACCTAGTACAGAAGCCATAGGTAGAGAAGAGTGGTCAATTAGTCTCGGATATTGGAAAGCATTAGAAATATATAAAAGTGTAAAGATGGACGGGGAGATTTATTTGGGGATTGTTTCTTTGTCCCTACTTTCCTTCTATGTAATGTGGACTCAGAGGCTGGTATTCAGTTGCTGTGTTCAGCCCATTTCTCTCCCCATCATCTAAGAATTAAAAAAAAAAAGGAATTAAATGATTTAGTTTCTTATTGATTAAAAAAGCTAAACATATTTTCAATGAAAGAGCTATTTGTGAACTTAACGTTGACAAGTAATAATGAGGAGATGAATCTTTAAGAACAAGACAGAGTCCTTATTTAGTAATGAGTTTTCTGCCTTTTATATGTTACTTTTATCATAATCTCAAGCTGTGTTAAGCCTTGCACAAAGTATCTATGAAGCAAATAGGTAATTGGCATGGGCCCATTTTAACGACTGAGAAACTGAGAAAAGTCTGGGGACTTGATCAACATTGGTCAGTGTACTAGTAAAAAAGTCCACATTCTGGAGGATTTCTGACTCTACATCATTTTCACTCAACTCTTGCAGCTGGAAAAATTTGTATTTCCAATCTTCTTCCACTTCTGATATATGTGCCGAGATAAAAACTAAAATGAGTAAGGGCAATGTACAATGAAAAGTTTGATAGAATCTATGCATAAATTGTCAAGGGAGTACTAAAGATTTCTTTTTCTAGAAGAAAATAAATCTTACATTTTTAATCTTAGGAAGGTTGAGTACAAGCCATATTCAGCAGTTGCCCAGAAGATTCCTAGCCGAACTACAGAGATTTGATCTGTAGAGTGCAGGCTAATTAACTTTTATATAAAATATTTCTGTCACCTGAATCTGAATGGTGTAGGCAGCAGATGGGAAGGCATGGAAAACACAGATACACAATGCTGCCAATGACCAAAGTGTTATAAACATGAAATTGCATCCATAGGGTGCATCATTATTAATATACATGCAGAATCAGATCTAACAAAATGCAGGAGTCAGCATCACTTGCTTCTTATCATTGCTTCTTTATTACCTAATACTTCGTAAGTGGCCAATAGTGGTCACAGTCTCCAGACTCCTTTTCATTTGTAGATTGTTTGGCAAGAGTCTTAAGTAGCAAGAATTTTTCACCAAAATTCGTGTTCCTTAGTTAGAAGGGAAGTTGTGTTCTAGAACGGATGTGTGCAGCATACAGCACATTACAACAAGGGGACCAGAAAAACCATGAAGCAGAATCCAGAATCTGTAAACTTCAAAGCTCTAAGACCGGGGTGGGGGGTGGATAAAGTCCTCCAGGGACAAGCTGACAATAAAATAAATACGCTGTCAAGCACATTTGTTTCTGTATTTCAACTCAGAAACATATTTTAAATCACTGTTGTCACTGTTACCTTCATGGCACACATCTTGAAAGGGAGAGATTATTATATTAACTCAGATCTAGTTTGTTCAACTGACTACATTTTCTTTCATCTCCCTTTTTACTTTAAATTCAAACATATCTAATTTGTCTTACTTTTGGTATCTCATTTAAATGTCATTCTATAATATTCTGTATTAAGAATGTTCTGATCAATGCCAAGTCACTGTAATATATAATTTTAAGATGACCGTAATCTGCTTTCAGTGAAAACAATAACTGATCTTTCCCTTGCTTCTCTGGAAAAGTGGACCTTCCTCTAATGCAGTGATGTGATTTTTAAAAACTTTCTATATATAAAAGGATGTCAAACTCATTTTACACATTAAATAAAATTGACTTAATCTAGCCACCATCCTCGGAGTCTACTGCCCAGTGACCTAATTTGTTGGTTGTGTGCCACTCCCTGAATAAAGGATTCGAGAAGAAAGTGGACTTTTTCACACAACCAAGTAAAATAAAATTGTGTCTCTTACTTAAATCAAAATTGCTTTCATAGCAAGAGCAGCAACAGCTGTTTTCTCTCACTTTATTTTGGGCTGCTGATTACATTCATCTGAAGGTTTTAATTAATGAGCAATAGTTTTGGTAACATCCTGCCACAACTCTTAAATGGAAAGAGCTGCCACTGAGATGGACAAACCCCTGAGAAAAGCATAATAGTTTTATTTCAATACACTATGTATTCAAAATAAGATAATCACATAAGATCATCACCTTCTAGGGGATCAGCTTCTTTCAAGTAGGGAAATTCATTAAAAGTAAGTTAGTTAACTACATACTTTTGGAAAACATATGTATATTATAACTGCATAATAAAAGCTTAATAAAACATTAAACATAGGATGGGGTCAAAGCAGTTTTCCATCAAAAGAATTCTGACTTCACTACAACACTCAAACCCCACTTGAGGCTAACCCATTTTATTAAAATGATTACTTCTTTGTTCTAAATTCTATTCTTATAACCTTCAAATAATGATGCTGAATATGAACCTAATTCCATTTACACCTAAATTAAATTCCTGCAGTTATACTTTCTTTCTCTCTCCTTCCTACATGACTTTTTCTTCTACAGGTTTTGTGTAGTTTCTTCAAAGTTAACTCCCTAAAGTTTACCTGCTGAAGTAGTGACAAGTACACATTTTTTAAAAAAAATATACACCTCACCTTAACTTCATATTGGTTCTATTAGGCAGAGTTAATGATGTAATATAATTGGCTTAGATCCAAATCCATGCAATTCAAAAGTGACTGCACAGCCAGGCATGGTGGCACCTACATGTAGTCTCAGCTGCTTGGGAGGCTGAGGCAGGAGGACTGCTTGAGCCCAAGAGTTCCAGACTACCCTGGGTGACATAGTAAGACCCTGACTCTTAAAAAAATTTTTTAATTAAAAAAAAAAGTGATCCCACTACTATTTTCAACACTCTCGTTGAATACACCAACCACAACTTTGCCTGCTTCATGAGCGATATGTACTAACAAATTAATATATGCTTCTTTCATGGAAATACAAGTGTTTTAAATTGTGCATTTTCTCTGACAGTACAGGACTAAGCACTGAAGCCTATTTATTAGAATTTGGCTAACAAAGCACTATTTTTGCATGGCACAGGGGTACCTCATGAGGGGACCAGTAAGGGATATTTATTTTTAAAACATCTGCTCTCAACTGTGTTGGTTTTCTTTGACTTGCTCTATGCAAATCACAGCTCTTTCTCCTCTGGGGGAAATGTATTCTGCAATTCATGATGAATAGCTGATAGTCGCATCTAATTGTTGCTGACTTAAAGATAAACAATTTCAAATTAAATGTCAAGTGATGCAAAACTTTTTAAAGCAGTGATCTTTTACAGGTTCCTCTTGAAGAACAGAGACCTGGCATTAACTTGGAAGTATTTTTTAATTTAGTTATTTACTTACAATATGTATTCGCTTTTCTAGATAAGTAGAGCAAAGGAGACTAGCAGGCACCATTTATTGAGCAATTAGTTTGTCTCTCCCGCTTTACTTTGTGCTTGCCAGAAGAGTATCACTTAATCCATGAAGAATATATTTGCTCTTGATTTTGTCTGACCATTATATCTTAGAGTTAATTTATGATCGAATCAGCTGAGGTATCTGAAGACTGATGCCAATTTCTAATTCCTCGTGTTTTATCTTCTGGTGCTGCAGAAGGCACCATGGATTTTGTACCATTAGATTTTATTTTATAAATAACCCCCCAGTCAAATTCCAACCACAATAGTTAAAAGAGCACAATGTAATGAAACGCATATGAAATAGTGGCCAAAATGTTCCCAATCTGCCTCTTTCGTTGCAGATGTTCCCAATCTATCTCTCACTAGCCATGTAATTTTGGGCAAGTGACTATCTCTGAGCATCTACACTTATCAGAAGTGTAGATCAAAAGAAGGTACTTTACCAATCTGACAAAGATGTTGTGAATCAAATGAGAAAGTAAAAGTACTTTGGAAAAGTTATAGTGTTACCCAAATAACTAGTGGAGAGGTGTTGGTCATTATCTGGTAAGAATCACTTAAGTGTTAAAGTTCAACTAATTTTCTTTTCGAAATTACTAATCAAAATGAGATATGATTCACATGTAAAATGTTTGCATTCCCCTTACACCTTCCTCTTTACCCTCTCCCTCATTTTTTTCTCTTAAAAAAAAGTGGGCTTAGAAATAAACAAACAAACAAAAAACTAGGTTCCTAAGTAGGTTGCACACTTGCCTGGAAAAAGAAGACATGCCACAGTACTGTTTCTGTATTACCAGCAACTTTTAACCTATGGCACATCTAACACAGCTTCTAGAGCCTTAAGTCCTGCCATAGAAATATCATTAAGATGCCCAAGATATTTGAGAAATGTTGGTCCTTCACATTGCTCATAAGTTTTTTCTATAGGCAAACTATCATTCAGGAAATTATGACCATACAGAGTCTACCCCACTCTCACTCCTATTCCGCCAACTACACCACAAAGCAAACATCCAAATTTTTTCATAGCAAACTTTCTTGATAAGGAAAGCAGTGTGTTGATTCATACTGACCTAAGCTCCTTATCTCATCATGGATATATAATTTACAAACCAGCTACTTTGAGTCCCATTGCCCTAGATAACTGTATACTCTCTTAGGAAAGTATTGCTCATTTTAGTGGCAACAGTAAATATAGAGATGAGAAATCTCATTGTCTTTTTTTCTGCTAGCTCTGGCTATTGCCACATATACACAAGAATAGAGGACCTATGTAGCACCAGAAATATGATGCCAAATCCATAAAACTAGGCAAGAAGAAAGAACATCTCTTAGCATCTGCCATATTACTTTTTGAGTGAATGTTTGAATGACAAACTCATAGAAATTTTTAACCTCTCAGTTGTCTTTTGCTGATATTTTCTCTATGAGATCACAGGAGCAAAGAGCAATGGGGAAGAGGTGAGCTAAGAGTAAGCCAACTCTCTCCATTTCCTTCTCCTTTCCTCAACCTGACACCTCAGCCAAATTCTCAGATATTTTATTTAATTGTGTAAGATTCATGCACTTTCAGGGAGACTGTCAACTGTATTTGATCTCCTGCCTTGAAAAAGTGGGTTGATCCCTGACCTGGCTGGCATTATGTCATGAGGAGTAAACTTTGACATTGAAAGGCTGGTGTCTGATTGGCCAGGGCTGGTTTGTTAATGGAGATGAGCCTGCAAGGGTTCATGTGGTAGAGAATTAAGCAGGATGACTCCTTTTTCAGTCAGGATGAATTACACCTCATCGTTATTCATTTGAAGCATAGATTTAGGAAGAATTTTAATCATATTATATTTTTGCAGCATTTATGTTTTTCAAGGCTTTTTCACAAATATGTTTAAATAATCTCCTAACAGCCCTGTAAAGCAAATGACTATGTATAGACAAAATATGGAGAAATAGAAAGAACTATGCATTGTAGGAAGTGAGAAGCCATCCAGAAGAAAAACAGACTAATAGCACCTTCTTAACTTCGTCTATTTGTCAGCCTTCAACCAAAGAACAGATTGGATCCATCACAGCTTTTGTAATATCCCATAAGAAAAGGCATAAAAGAGAGAAGTATCTACTTCCAGGTTGGACTATTAAAAGCATATTATATAATAATGTTCAAAATGATGGAAATGTAATTAATTGAATCATTTTTTAACGGAGTACAATGTACTCATTCAAAATGAGGATATATTTATTGACACAGAAAGATAGAAAAATTTTACAAAAATGTATGTAAAGTGTGACCTTGTTCCTGTAAAATATGAAGTCTAGAACTTTGTTTATAAAAATCTTAACAGGGATTATAGAGGGTGAAAATCTACATTTTTCTCTATTCATGCATCTATTTTTCTAAAAATAATCATTTTTACCTACAGAATTAAAAAATAATAAGAGAAAAAAGATAAGTTGTCTTTATACTTTCTCATCTAGACTTTCAATACTTCAGTATGAAAATACATATTTTAGAAAGAATAAATTGTAGTGTATGTTTAAATGTATCAAAGCCCTCTCTCATCTCTTTTATAATTTTTTCCTCACAGTTACTTTGTGAGGAGAGCCAGAAAAATATTATTACCATTATAATGTAAATGAGATAATTATAACATATGATGGAGGAAATATAAGGTGGGAGTTAAGAGATTACATTTTTGAGAAGTTCAGAGCTATGTTAGAATCTTGGCTGTACAACTTTTTAGACATCCTACCTTGGAAAACATACCTGATGTCTCCATGTTTCAATTTATTAAGTCATAAAATGTGATTATCTTATAAGTTTATGGTGAGGACTGCACCATATGTACCTAGAGCAGTGTGTTCTTATGATGTTGATAATTGTTCTTTTAGCATAAAGTGTTGACGTGGCAAGATTCATAAAAACTAATCAGAAAAAGAACTCAAATATTCTACCTTATTATGCATTCGCAATGTGTCTATAATATTCAGGCTTAGGACTTCCAGCTCCAGCAAAATAACCCTGAGAAAAATGAAGAAATCTGCTGTTTTGAAGTCCCACTTAGAGTTCTGGTTCACTGAAGTGTACCCGCAATTTAAGTGTGTGCAAAGTAGGTCAGCAAAGAAGTGAACTTTGAAGTCCAGTTTTACCTAGTTGCTCCTTTATATGGGTTCAGGGTGGTTGGAGTTTTGCAGCAGTTACATCAAGGTTAAGAAGAAGCATGTTTTGGTCTATTAGGTGGTCTTAGTGAGGAACTCATAAGTCTTTCCTAACTATTGCTATAACTTCTCATAGGAGGCTCTGAGGAACTAAACTCAGGGAACAATAGAACAGAAATGACAGTTTCATTTTATTAATAAATGCATTAATGCCCAGTGCCCTGCTGCATAGGTCTTTAGAAAAAATTGAGTTGGGACATACGACTTGGGCTTCAGGTTTGTGTGGCATTTCTTAATTCTAAATCTTGATCTTCCATCTAAGCAAACAAAAGAAAGAAGTGGCAGAAGAGATGGAGGACAACAGATATGAGCTTATGAAACAGGAGTGAGCTTATTTTGGTGTGGTAGGGCTGAGTACCTGGAAGAGTTCCAAATCTGAATCCTCAAAACTTGTGAATATGTTATTTTTTATGGCCAAAAGGACTTTGAAGATGTGGTTATGTTAAGCATCTTGAGATAGAAAGGGTATCTTGGATTATCCAGGTGTACTCAATGTCATCACAAGGATTCTTATAAGAAGGAGGCAGAAGAAGTCAAGGTCAGAGGACAAGGCGATGTGACAATGTGATAAAGGAAGCGGAGACTGGAGTGACACACATTGAAGATGGAGAAGAGGCCATAAGTCAACAAATACAGGCAGTCACTAGAAACTCAAAGGCAAGAAAATGGGTTTTCCCCTCAGAGGCTCCAGAAAGAATGCCACCCTTGACTTTAGCCCAGCAAAACATATTTCAGACTATGACCTCTAGTCACAAGTAATAAGAGAATAAGTGTGTGTTGTTTTAAATCACTAAGTTCTTGGTAGTTTGTTACAGCAACAACAAGAAATGAATACAATTGCCCACACAGACTTATGCAGGGAGGAGGTGACAAAAAGATAGAAAGGGATCTGGCCCACCTTATCCTTGGAAGGCAGGTTCCATTTCAGCTTATACACTTTGCATCTGGAGAAAAATGTCGAGAAAGGTTAAGCTTGGTGATTCCACTCACTGCTAAGTACAACCCAGTTGGTATTTGGGGATTCTTGTTAGAAAGGGCAGAGTCTACCTGGACGTGGATTCAAGGTTCAGCAGTCTCCCCTTTTTCATACGGGCTTCATCTGTATCACAGTAACAATATGGCTTACATTAACCCAAAGATTAAGGGAAAGTAGCACTGCTATAGGCCAGGGCTTTCAGAAATGGGACACCTCATGAAGCAAAATCTCCATATTTTACTGGATGCGGACTATATCAAAATTGATGCACACAACTTCATGGGACTTTCTAGATGCATATTGCTTTTCTGATTATAAAAGCAGTGCCCATGCACTACTACCTGTGCATTTACACAGATTAACCCTGAGTCGCATTTAATGCTTTTTATTCTTTCAAGGATAATGGTTGAAATTTTAGTAACAGTGGAGTACAATTAAGAAAAACCCTGTTATCACTCTAACTGGGCACTGGCATCAAAGAACAGGAGAAATAAAGAAAAAAGTAATTTTTAAAAATTTTTCTGAAAATGCAGATTTGACATGGCTTTTGAAACTTGAGCATTATGCTATTTCTATTTAAAAGGTGAGATTTTCCTTTGTGTTTGCAGTCTATATTTTCATCACACTGCAAGTGGCTGAGTCTCTACGGTTCCAAACAATAGCTCAACTTGTACCTTTCAAAAACATTCTTAGGAATAACTTAGAAATGGGTTGTCACTCCTCTCCTCACCGCCAGGGGTGGTCATTAGCTGAACTTACTGAACATTTGGGGCAGTAGCAAGCACTTTGATGGCAGTACAACCTGCATGCAATCTATGGGTGTTTTTGGACAGAAGGCCTCAACCAGAAGCCAAACAGAAGTTGTGTTAATACTCCCCAGATTAAAAAGAAAAGTTTTTGTTTTCGTAAAGTTCAACATTCAGCATGTCTTTGTCTAACAGAATCACAATCTGGCTTAGTTGTGGAGTGCTATTTTTTCAGTCCCAACCAGACATTCTTAAACAGAGATTCCTTTAAACAAATAATTTGCTTCTATATATTGTAAATGTAATAATGGGAGCAAATATATACACAGATCCACACACAGAGAGATGTTATTGTGTTGCTGATACAGGAGGAGTTAATTTGAGTCTTTTCACACATTGTGTTATACACATAAAGAAATGCTTCAATGTGACCTGAACATGAATGATAAATCTAGATCCGAATTTATCTAGTGTGCCTTCACCTGGCCACAGACACAGAGAGCCATCTAGTGGTCTCCAAAATACAGCTTTAGGCTGAAGCATCCTAGGAATCCAGTCTCACAAGACAAGAAAGGATTCCAAGCAGCTATTACTTCATTCCTGGTCTTTTGACTGTGGAAAATGTAGATTAATTCACCAAAAAGATCTTCTTCTGCCTTCTACTAAGAAGTTTCATCAACTTCTGCTGTACTGCCAGCCTATCTATAATTGCAGTTAACAACTATAAAGTAAGATATCTCAAAATGTGTCCAGTGGGGTTGGGAGAAAAATGAGATAAAGTCTTACTAACTTTAGAAATGTAGAGTCATTAATTCTTAGTAGCTGTATTTGCTGTCACTTTCATTCATAAGGAAAGATAAAGAGATGCAGCCATTTTATTGTGCTAAGCACATCATTTATTCCTTTATTTCTGATTATAAAAAAATCTATGCTCTTTGTGGATAATTCTAAGATTTAATAAAATGCCAAAGAATCCAAATCACCTATAAATACACAACCAAAAGATCTACTCATATATGTGTGTTATAAAATTGGGGCCATCCTACTTTATGGATTTCCCTAACATATTCATACATTATAAACCGCTTCTCATATCGCAAATATTTTTCTCCATTATTTGTAATGGCTAGATAGTTTGCCTTTGAATGGGTTATTTCTTGGTTTGTTTACCTAGCCCTTGCTGTTTAAAATCAGATTTGCTTCCATTAAAAAAGAAAAAACACTGTTACCGAAGGGATTTTACTACACTCATCTTAGCATTTTTGTAGTTACTTGTGCTGCAGAACACCCTCTACTTGAGTTTTGTGACACCGTCATTGTTTTCCTTGTTTTTTTCCCCTGTCCTTTCATTGTCTTTTACTGATTATGCTTCTTGTCCTTGATCCCTTATAATAATCACCATTGTACTGTGCTGTCTAATATTATAGCCTCTACCCAAATATGGATACTTGAATTTAAATTAAGATTACATAAAATTTGAGTCAGTTTCTCAAGCACATGAATCACATTTCAAGTGTTTAAAACATCTTATGTACCCCATAAATATATATGCCTACTATGTACCCACAAAAATAAAAAACTTTTTAAAAATTTAAATTTAAATTTAAAATAAATAAATTTTAAAAACATAAATTTTAAAAATTTTTAAATAAAATATTTTTTTAATTTTAAATAAAAATTTTTAAATGGGAACATATGGGTAGTGACTTCTATATTGGACAACATAGATATAGAACATTTTCATTTCCATAGGAAGTTCTATTGGATTGTTATGTCAAAGGATGTTCTGTTGCAAAGGAAGAGAAACTCCCACCATGAAGCTCAAAAGCAGGGAATTTGTGCTGAAATCTTACAGGAAAATGACATGAAATAGAAATGCATGAAGTATAGCTGAGCTGTACCACCAGAAGGTGTTTGGGTAGCACCTCTCTTTTTCCCTTGCTCTGGGGCCCAATGGCTCTTCTCTCAGTTTCTCACTTCACATCTGCTACAAACTCCTCTCGGGATACCAGCTGATTCTTCTGCCTTGCCATAGCTTCTCCATGGATGTGGTTCTTATGATAGGACTTAGCCTGACTCTATATGACTTTACAACTCTAATCAATTTATCTGACTACATTTCTTATATCTCTTAGTTCAAATTATCCAGATATCTGATTGGTTTAACCCACATTGGTTTCCCCTCACCCCAAATTATATGTCCTCCCTTAATCCAATCAGAAAGGCCCAGATTCTTAGGTTGCATGCTCAATATGAGACTGACTGAAAATACAGCAGTAAATAAAATAGCAAAGCCCAGGCTCTCAAAGAACTCCCATTCTAGCAGGGAAGATAGAAAATAAGACATGCAAACAAATAAATACGTAATATATTATTATTAGACAGAGACAAGTGCAATGGAGAAAAATACAGCAGAATATAAGATTAGAGACTGACTACAGATGGTAAAGTAAGGTCTGTCTGACCATGGCATTTGAGCAGAGAATGAAGTAAGGAGTGACCCATAAAATCTTCCAAGGAAGGAGCATTGCAAGCCAGGCCAACATAAAATAAAAAGACCCTGAGATAGGAATGAGCACAGTAATAAATAATTGTTGAATAAGGGGACTATTCTTAGTACTATCCATAACACAATTTTTAGTGGGCACTGTTTCAAAGGAGGTATCAATAGTGAACCAATAACCAGATCTAGTACACCCTTTCATACAGGCCTTTTCCATAGTGTCAACTACTGAATTTATCTCTTTGTGTGTGGCAAGGCCAGGAATTTCTAACTTGAAATTGTGGTTATATCTCCAATTCTCACCTTAAGCTAAAAATACTTAAAGATGTCTTGAAAAAGTGTTTTTCTCTTACCTATAACAAGACTTTTCATAACATCTTTGACTTCTCCCTTTTCTTGTTACCAGGTTCTGTTGCTTTCCTTCATATATTTCTCATAGCCCCATTCTTCCTTCTTATTGTCACATTACCTTCTTGCATCAATTCTTTTGAATAGCCTTTTAATATCTAGCTTCTTTCCACCAGACCATTCTGCTCACTGCTGCTAGATAAATTTTCTTAAAGCAATTTTTATTCTTTCATTCATTCAAGAAATACTTATCAAATATAATGCCCTGAGCTTCATGCCATTCCCTTGCTCAAAAACCATTTTACTATAATAATATTCCCTTTCTTTTTCCATGACCCAACACTTCTGTGGGGTGAAATACACACCTTAATAACAATGACTCACTACAGCATTAATTCACAAAATTGGAGTGGGGTGTGCCACACTCAAGAAACTGTATTAAATTATCTAGATTTTGAGAGTATAATTCAATAAAGCATTCCATCTCCTACTGACATGCCGAGATTCAGACATGTTCCCCATAAAGCCAGAGAAATATAGGTTAATAATCATCAGCAAGTTATAGAATCTGGCCCTCAAGGCCATCCACAAACATGTACTGTATTAGTTCATTTTCACATGCTGATGAAGACATACCCAAGACTGGGAAGAAAAGGAGATTTAATTGGACTTACAGTTCTACATGGCTGGGGAGGCCTCAGAATCACAGCCGGAGGTGAAAGGCACTTCTTACATGGTGGCAACTAGAGAAAATGAGGAGAAAGCAAAATCAGAAATCCCTGATAAACCCATCACATCGTGTGAGACTCATTACTGAGAGGTGACAGCGTGCTGGCAGTCCTCACAGCCCTCGCTCGCTCGCTCTGGGCGCCTCCTCTGCCTGGGATCCCACTTTGGCGGCACTTGTGGAGCCCTGCAGCCCACCGCTGCACTGTGGGAGCCCCTTTCTGGGCTGGCCAAGGCCGGAGCCTGCTCCCTCAGCTTGCAGGGAGGTGCGGAGGGAGAGGCGCGAGCGGGAACCAGGGCTGCGCGCGCAGGTCAGCTGGAGTTCTGGGTGGGCGTGGGCTTGGCGGGCCCCGCACTCGGAGCAGCGGGCCGGCCCTGCCGGCCCTGGGCAATGAGGGGCTTAGCACCCGGGCCAGAGGCTGCGGAGGGCGTACTGGGTCCCCCAGCAGTGCCAGCCCACCGGCGCTGCGCTTGATTTCTCGCCGGGCCTTAGCTGCCTTCCTGTGGGGCAGGGCCTGGGACCTGCAGCCTGCCATGCCTGAGCCTCCCACACCCTCAGTGGGCTCCTGTGCGGCCCGAGCCTCCTCGACGAACGCCACCCCCTGCTCCATGGCGCCCAGTCCCATCGACCACCCAAGGGCTGAGGAGTGCGGGCGCACAGCGTGGGACTGGCAGGCAGCTCCACCTGCAGCCCCGGTGCAGGATCCACTGGGTGAAGCCAGCTGGGCTCCTGAGTCTGGTGGGGACGTGGAGAACCTTTATGTCTAGCTCAGGGATTGTAAATACACCAATAAGCACCCCGTGTCTAGCTCAGGGTTTGTGAATGCACCAATGGACACTCTGTATCTAGCTACTCTGGTGGGACCTTGGAGAACCTTTATGTCTAGTCCAGGGATTGTAAATACACCAATCGGCACTCTGTATCTAGCTCAAGGTTTGTAAACACACCAATCAGCACCCAGTGTCTAGCTCAGGGTTTGTGAATGCACCAATCGACACTCTGTATCTAGCTACTCTGGTGGGGCCTTGGAGAACCTTTGTGTCCACACTCTGTATCTAGCTAATCTAATCTGGTGGGGATGTGGAGAACCTTTGTGTCTAGCTCAGGGATTGTAAACGCACCCATCAGCACCCTGTCAAAACAGACCACTCGGCTCTACCAATCAGCAGGACATGGGTGGGGCCAGATAAGAGAATAAAAGCAGGCTGCCCGAGCCAGCAGTGGCAACTGGCTCGGGTCCCTTTCCACACTGTGGAAGCTTTGTTCTTTCGCTCTTTGCAATAAATCTTGCTACTGCTCACTCTTTGGGTCCACGCTGCTTTTATGAGCTGTAACACTCACCACGAAGGTCTGCAGCTTCACTCCTGAAGCCAGCGAGACCACAAGCCCACCGGGAGGAACGAACAACTCCAGACGCGCTGCCTTAAGAGCTGTAACACTCACCGCGAAGGTCTGCAGCTTCACTCCCGAGCCAGCGAGACCATGAACCCACCAGAAGGAAGAAACTCCTAACACATCCGAACATCAGAAGGAACAAACTCCAGACGCGCCACCTTAAGAGCTGTAACACTCACCGCGAGGGTCCGCGGCTTCATTCTTGAAGTCAGTGAGACCAAGAACCCACCAATTCTGGACACATTACTATCACGAGAATAGCATGGGAAAGACTGGCCCCCATGATTCAATTACCTCCCCCTGCGTGCCTCCCACAACACATGGGAATCCAGGAAGATACAATTCAAGTTGAGATTTGGGTGGGGACACAGCCAAACCGTATCATTCTGCCCCAGCTCCTCTGAATCTCATGTCCTCACATTTCAAAACCAATTATGCCTTCCCTACAGTCCCCCAAAGTCTTAACTCATTTCAGCATTAACCCAAAATTCAAAGTTTCAAAGTATTATCTGAGACAAGACAAGTCCCTTCTGCCTATGAAGGTGTAAAATCAAAAGCAAGCTAGTTACTTCCTAGATACCATGGGGATATAGGTATGGGTAAATACAGCCGTTCTATATGGGAGAAATTGTCCAAAACAAAGGGGTTACAGGGCCTATGCAAGTCCAAAATCCAGCAGGGCAGTCAAATTTTAAAGCTACAAAATAATCTCCTTTGACTCCAGGTTTCACATCTAGGTACCGCTGATACAAAAAGTATGTTCTCATGGTCTTGGGCAGCTCTGCCCCTGTGGCTTTGCAGGGTACAGCCTCCCTCCCAGCTGCTTTCACAGGCTGGCGTTGAGTGTTTGCGGCTTTTCCAGGCATATGGTAAAAGCTGTTGGTGGATCTGCCATTCTGGGGTCTGGAGGACGGTGGCCCTCTTCTCACAGCTCCACTAGGCAGTGCTTCAGTAGGGACTCTGTGGGGGCTCCGACCCCACATTTCCCTTCTGCACTGCCCTAGCAGAGGTTCTCCATGAGGGCCCTGACCCTGCCACAAACTTTTGCCTGGGCATCCAGGCATTACTATACATCTTCTGAAATTTAGGCAGAGGTTCCCAAACCTCAATTCTTGACTTCAGTGTACCCACAGGCTCCAACACCACATGGAAGCTGCTAAGGCTTGGGGCTTCCACCCTCTGAAGCCACAGCCTGAGCTCTATGTTGGCCCCTTTCAGCCACAGCTGGAGCAGCTGGGACACGGGGCACCAATGCCTAGGCTGAACACAGCACAGAGACCCTGGCATTTTCCTCCTGAGCCTCTGGGCTTGAAATGGGAGGGGCTGCCATGAAGGTTTCTGACATGGCCTGGAGACATTTTCCCCATGGTCTTGTGGATTAACATTAGGCTCTCTGCTACTTATTCAAATTTCTGCAGCCAGCTTGGATTTCTCCCCAAAAATGGATTTTTCTTTTCCACTGCATCATCAGGCAGCAAATTTTCTGAACCTTTGTGTTCTGTTTCCCTTTTAAAATGGAATGCTTTTAACAGCACCCAAGTCACCTTTCGAATGCTTTGCTGCTTAGAAATTTCTTCTGGCCAGATACCCTAAATCATCTCTTTCAAGTTCAAAGTTCCACAAATCTCTAGGGCAGGGGTAAAATGCCTCCAGTCTCTTTGCTGAAACATAACAAGAGTCACCTTTGCTTCAGTTCCCAACATGGTGCTCATCTTCAACTGAGACCACCTCAGCCTGGACCTTATTGTTCATATCACTATAAAAATTTTTGTCGAAGCCTTTCAACAACTCTCTAGGAGGTTCCAAACTTTCCCACATTTTTCTATCTTCTTCTGAGCCCTCCAAACTGTTCCAGCCTCTGCCCATTACCCAGTTCCAAAGTCGCTTCCACATTTTCGGGTATCTTTTCAGCAACGCCCCACTCTACTGGTACCAATTTACTATATTAGTTAGTTTTCATGCTGCTGATTAGGACATGCCCCAGACTGGGAAGAAAAAGAGTTTTAATTGAACCTACAGTTCCACATGTCTGGGGAAGCCTTAGAATCATGGCGGGAGGCAAAAGGCACTTCTTACATGGTGGCAGAAAGAGAAAATGAGGAAGAAGCAAAAGCGGAAACCCCTGATAAACTCATCAGATCTTGTAAGACTCATTCACTATCACTAGAATAGAATGGGAAAACTGGCCCCCATGATTCAATTACCTCCCTCTGGGTCCCTCCCACAACACATGGGAATCCAGGCAGATACAATTCAAGTTGAGATTTGGGTGGAGACACAGCCAAACCATATCATGTACTCTTTCCAATTCATGGCATTCTGTTGAGATATAGGTACACAGAAAGCACAGAATTTCTTTTGTTTTACTTCTATTTTAAGTTCAGAGGTACACACGCAGGTTTGTTACATAGGTAAACTTGTGTCACAGGAGTCTGTTGTACAGATTATTTCATCACCCATGTATTGAGCCTAGTTTTCATTATTTTTTCTGATCCTCTCCCTCCTCCCACTCTTCACCCTCCAGTAGGCTCCAGAGTCTATTGTTCCCCTCTATGTTTCCATGAGAAAGCACAAAATTTCTAGAAACAGAAATGTGTGTATGATTTTTTAATCAATACATATAAATCATTATATTAAAAAGCATTTTTCTATTATATATCTATATGGAAAGACGGATATATACCCAAGTTGTCACAATTTGCAGATGAATTATGCTCTAATTCAAAATTGATTTTTCCATTGAAACAATGTTATCTGTTCTTGTTAAGACCTCTGGCCAGGCCTCAAAAGCCTATTTGACCCATTGTATAGCAGAGTTCTGGTATTAATAATTCTATAGACACTAAACATCATCTGTAACAGACTCTTTCTGTTTGAGACCAAGGGGATATGGAGTCGGGAGGAGAACCAGAGACCTGATTTCAAGTTTGGTTTTAGAATCATCTGTAGAGCTTTGGGAAACTTCTCTGAGCCTCAGTTTATAAATAGTCATTCATTAAACTGGTTTTTATTGAGAGCCTACTGTGCCATTTAAAAAACTTAATACAGACTTCAGTGAATTAATACACATAAAAGCACTTTATAAATTCAAATTTTAAAAATAGATGAGAGGCATTGTTATTGAAACATCTTCAGGAAAACATACTCCTAGCTTCAATTCTGGAAAGTTAGGACCTATCTTCCTTGGTACTAATTTGGCAACAGGAACAACCCACCCTTGTTTCATCCTCCTGCAATGGACCAACACAGTCAAACTGTAACTTCTAAATGGTCAGCAGCAGCTGGAAGGGGAGGAAAAAAGAGCAGGGTTTCATAATTCCCAAACGGGGACTTAAAAAGTGTGTTTATCTTGGATGCTCCCATGGTCAGGGAGAAGAACCCAGGGTGCTCGGCTGTTCACCTTAGGCCTGAGGAGGAAGAAGGGAAGTTGGGGAGCCATCAGGATAGGAGGACTACAGCCAGAACACAGATGAGAATAAGAGACACTTGGGAAGTCAAGTATTAAAGCTAGGATTGCTAGTTTATATTCATAAAAATATATTAGTTAAGATTTAAGATTGCATCAGTTTCTAAATAGTACTGGGTAGTGGGTTGAAATACTGGAAATGATCATATCCTATTCATAACCTATGAAGCTTACTTCATTCCAACTCTGTCTTTAACACTTGCAGGGCAGCAGCCACTTAAAGTCCTTTGCATCTCCAGCTTTCAGAACTACTTCAGGATTTAGCCCTGAGCTCAAGCCAGGGGAACCATTAGGTTCTCCTTGCAGAATGAGAGGGGGAAGTAACTCTAGGAGAGATCAGTAATAAATCAGTAAGCTTAACCATGGCCATACCATCTCTGCCTACAGTATTTCAATGGCTCCTAACTGACTTAAGAGGCCATTGAAACACTGAAATTTAAATGGCCTCCTAACCCATCCTTTACCACCTTTTTTTTTTTTTTTTAAGATGGAGTCTCACACTGTTGCCTGGGCTGGAGTGCAGTGGTGCAATCTCAGCTCACTGCAACTTCTGCCTCCCAGGTTCAAACGATTCTCCTCTCTCAGCCTCCTGAGTAGCTGGAATTACAGGCGCATGCCACCACACCCGGCGAATTTTGTCGTATTTTTATTAGAGAAGGGGTTTGACTATGTTGGCCAGGCTGGTCTCAAACTCCTGACCTTGTGATCCGCCCGCTTCGGCCTCCCAAAGTGCTGGGATTTCAGGCATGAGCCACTGCGCCCGGCCCACCACTTCTATTCTCTTGTCCCAGCTTCTGTCAGAAAGAGAATCGGTGTACTAACCTGCTTAAACCCCTAAATGGCAGCAGTATGTCCCAAACTTCAGGCATTCAGTTACTGCCCTCATAATTTTTGCCATATCTCTGCATCATCTACTGCTATTAATGTTTTAAATTAACTTGTTGTTTTACCTAAATAAATTCACTTTTAAAAATCTTTTCATGACAACATTAATGAAATACCAGTACCATTTGCCATAAATAGAAATTAACTATAAAAATAAATACACAATAAAAACTAAACAGTTCTAGCTAGGTACCCTTGCCTGCCTGAGGTCTGAATCTGAGTACTTTTTTAAAAGAGGAAATTTCTAGGTGCTATAAAAGTGTTAAAGACACGCTGACACCAAACTGAGGCTTTCTGCTTAAGTAAACAGATGGATTAAATGCTAATTGAAAAGGAATTAAGTTTCTCACTATGTGATTCAGTGTTATATTAATGTAAAGTTTCTGAACAACCTAAAATCATCTCATGAATCACCTACACTCTGCCAAACAGTAACCTATAAGGTGAATTCTAAGCAGCTTAGCGTAGCATTCAAGACCCTTCATTATCTGATCCTCACATCACTCCTCTCCTCATTTATTCTTCATACTAACACTTGCCCTTTGTACTTTGTGCTCCAGTAATGCCTAAATGTGGAATACTATTCCAAGCATATGCACATGTTGTTCTCACTGCTTGGCATACCATTTTCCCTTGTGTCTGCCTGAAATTCAATCTTCATCCTTTGCTCTTCTGTGCATGGTACACTGGCCACTCTCTCCCTACCATGATTGACAACTTTCACTTCTATGTGACTTTTCTACGGTCATCTTTCTAGATCTGTCATACAGTTATGTAATTATTTGTTAACATGTGTCTCTCTCCTCCTCTCTCACTAGACCAAACCCTGTGCTCCTCACACAATGTCTGGCTCATAATAGATGCTCAATGACTATTGGTTAAACTGAATTAATGGTCCACTTTCATTCATTCTAGTGTAACTGCTAAATCACACCTGTGGAAAACCCACCATATGTCAAGGTATGGTGATGGGAACCTAAAAGAGTGCAAGGCCCTGTGAAAGAGGGTCCTCATTCACTGCGGTGGACAGAACTCCTGACCACCTAGAATTTACCATGTTATAAGATGTAGAACAAAGCTGGAAAAGTAAGGCCTTGGGGAAATTGATTTTGTAATAAATAGAAAACCTGTTTCTACTACCCTATTAAACTTTTCCTACTTCCTTCATTCTCCCTAAATCATTTCCAATTTGCCACAGACCACAAATGACAGAAAGTGACATTGTTCTCACATCTTTGAACCACTGCTTTCCCAACTCCTCATTCACCTCTTCTGCGAATTTCTCTATATTTTTGTAGCCAAACATTCTTGACATTTAAAATTAGAGAAAGTCAAAGTTGATGAAAAGTAAATTTACTGGAAATAATCATCAGTGAGAAAGGAAAAGCCTGGAACTGTATTTTACCTTGTTATCTCCTGTCAAACAAAGTATCGGGAAATCAGACAAGAGTTCAGATCTTGGTAAGATTAGCCAAGTCTATTCCTAACTTCCTGTTTTACTCACTGCTCATCCGTCATTAAGTACGACTCTTTAGGTTTCAGCCGCCGGGTGTGGTAGCCATCTGTTTGTTAGCAGCACCCAGATAATTTCAAAATGTAGATTCCCAGATTTATCAAATCAGAACTCCTGAGGTTGGAGCACAGAAATCTATTTAAAAAGCAAACAAACAACTTCACACACGATCTGAGTATCATTTGTTTTTTGTTTTTTGGACCACATTATCCTAAGAGTGTCATCCAACGTGATTTTCAAAATGTGACCAGGAACCACCTGGGAAAAAAAAATCACATTTGGTAGTTTTTAAAGTATAGAATTTTAGCCTCACTGAATTCCACTATATTATATGCTATGACCTCATATATCTGTTTTCTTTTTAACAAACTCCTCCAGATTATTCATATATGCACAGTACAGTTTGAGAATCAATGACCTGGGGCAGAGGTCTCCAACTCAGATGCCTTCTAGAGGCCATGAAGGTAATGGAAATGTCCAAAACAGTCCCAAATAATACAGTAGGGAGTAGTGATATCGTATGTCACTGAAGAGTGCCTGGCCTTTCTACAGCAGCCAGCCAGCTACTACTCAGCTGCAACCAGCTGTTACTCACAGGGAACATTGCCAGATATTCTGACTTTTCAAGGGAAGCCAGACTGGATTTTTTTAATGTAAAAATCCCCTTAAATGTTGACAACTTACTCACTTTTTAAAAAACAAACTGCATGCCTGCTAGTGCTGGAGGGTCACCAGTTCAACACCTTCTGGACTAGGAAATATCAAGGGATTTGTAAAGCAGACAAGTATTAGCCAGAAACGCCTCACTGCCTGGCTGAGTAATGGAAGATGGCATAGGATAGGCCTGTAATCATAACAAGTACAGTTCCTTTAAGGTACAGCTAGAAAGAGCTAGAATAAGTATATAATGTAAAGGACAGGTGGATACCCTCATGTGAAAGCAAGAGACAAGAAAGAAAAAAGGCTCTAAAAGATAATGAATATAATCCATTCTATTCATAACATGCCCATAAATGAAGTTTAGAAAACCTTACTCATAAAATAGAAATAATGAGATAATGATAACTACTCATAGTGTTTGAGGTATTAATTAAATAGAATAGCTTATATCAAGTGGATTAATGACAGCAGCTGACATGTAATATGTATTCATTTTTTTTAAATGTGAGTTCTTTATTTTCTGTTTCCTCAGGCTTCTGTTCCCTCACACTAAAATTCAAGAGGCACTAAAGAAAAGCAATCTCATGGCAAAAAGCTAACACACTTTCTTAATTTCCATGTGTGTGTTTAAAAAAAAACTGACATTTCTATGTGATAATTAACAAGATTGTGATGACAAAGCCATTCAGTCCCCTCATTGTCCTTTCCTCTCTTAATTCTGCTCTTCCTTCCACTCTTTAGTGTTTCCAAATTCCATGCGAAAAAAGTTGCTAAATAAATGGACTTGAGAATTCTTCTGGATGATTTGGAAAAAGTGGATAAAGTCTGGGCTACATTGCTCTAGAAAGATTGCTTTCATTTTATTGCATTCTTGATATATCTACTTTTTTAAAATATAATAATTTGTATATAAAAACAATGTAATGGTGATGTTTAAAAATGTATTTACAAGGCAAAAGATTCACAGTTTCACCACCTTAACATATATTTCCTTCCAATTTTTGTTTTTCTGGGAGGTTATTGTTTTCTGTTTTATTTGCCATTGTAATTCAAGGGTCTATTACACTGTTTTGCTCATAGTAATCACTCAGATATTTGTTAAGGAATGAATGAATGAACTCCTGAAATTGTCATGTACAACTGACTTTGTTTTCTACTTGCTCACTTTCATTATGTCATGAAACTTTTATGAGTCTCCACAGACTTCAAATGAATCATATCTCTCTACCTGTTTTGCTGATTTTTTTTCTAATGATAAAAATCAAAAAAATGTGAAACTTTAGAAAAGAAATTTTAATCCCACTATCCAGAGACAATCACTCTTAATTTGTTGAGATATTTTATCCTAGCATTTGTTACATAAAACTTTTTCTTTAAACATGGAGAATTTTGAACTCCTAGCCTTAAGATGCTCCCATTTTCAGCCTCCCAAAGTGCTAGGATTATAGGCATGAGCCACCATGCCCGGCCTTAAACATGGAGAATTTCTATTTAGATTATTTCATTTAATATGGCATTGCCAGTATTTCCCATGTAATGGGACGCCCATGGTCCACCCACACCATTATTTTATTAACTGCTTATTATTCCAGGCTCTTGGATATGCATAGAATGTTGACATTTTCTTTTTTTTTTTTTTTTTTTACCATTTTTGTCACAAAATGTCCCATGATAAAGGTCTTTATTCACAGGCTCTTATTTCCTTATCATACATTCCTGGAAGAGGAAAATAATACTAGTTGATTGAAGAATGTCCAAGGATCCTTTTCATATTGAGTATATGAATGGCATATTTTCCACATCCTTATGTATTCCAGCCTGTCTTTGTTATTTTTCTTAAAAATAAAAGACAGATTGACAGGGCATAAAATTCTTTCCCAAATAAACTCACTTAGATATCACTTTATGATCATTGGACATTTAATGTAGCAGAACTGAGAAGCCCATGATATTTACATTTATCCCTTTGAAGATCACCTTTTTAGTTTTCTTTCTTCCAAAATATTTGACAGTTTTTCTAATTAAAACATTTTGTCAGACATGTCTATGAATAGTTCATTTGCATTGATTTTGTCAAGATTAATTTGGGTCCATCAAATTGACATTTTTTTTAATCCCAGAAAAAAATTTATCTTGATGTATTTTTCACTAGCACTTCTGTTTTTGTAATGGCTTCTTTCTTAGGGGCATAATTCTTAGGTTGGGGTTCTCTTGTTTATCCCCTATACATCAGGTGGCCAAATAGTTTATATCCAACCAGAAAAATTTGAAAATGAAAAGGGAGAAGTGCTAATAACTACAGGGGACAATAGGAATAAAAGAGGAGCTGTCTGAGTTCTAACTGACACACACAGCCACTTTCCCCTCTTTTCTCTCACTATTTATAGTTGTTGATCGTTTTGTTCTATATCCTGTAAGATTTTCTTAATTTTGTCTTCCACTTCACTAATTCAATGTTTGCAATATTTGCCAAGCTTTTTATGTTTCCAAAGCATAATTTGAAATCTATTATTGGATTTACTTTTCCTGTTTCTTTCCATATCACACTTTCTTTTCATTCCATCCTATTATTGTCTATCTCAGCATGTTCTCTAGTGAATTTTTCATGTTTCATAAAAATCAAATTATCCTGCTTGTTATGTAAATGTCAGGGTTTTTCTTTTCCAATTTTCTTTTGGCTTCTAAAGTAAATCGTTTTCATAATGCGTCCTTTATTTTCTTTGCCTTGTTCTACAGCGTTTAGTTTCTTTGCCTTTTTCTATACCATTTGTAAGGGCCCATGTTGCTTCCTTGTTTTGTTTTTAATTTTTATTTTTCAGAAACAGGATCTTACTCTGTTGCACAGACTGGAGTGCAGTGCCACAGTCAGAATTCACTGAAACTCCTGGGCTCAAGGGCTAATTTTTTGTTTTTACTTTTTATTTTTGTTTTGTAGAGATGGGGGCTCCACTCTGTTGCCCAGTCTGGTCTTGAACTCCTGGCATCAAGCAATCCTCCCACCTCTGCCTCCCAAAGTGCTGGGATTACAGGTGTGAGGCACCATACCCAGTCTTGGTTTTGGTTTTAATTGGCGGGAAGAATTCTTATTCTAAAAACAATAAGGAACCCATCCATACCCTCTGTTTACCAACCAATAGGCTACTTGGACTGCACCGTCTAACTTAGGATTCACTTATGTGCTAGCTAAATCCCCTTCTAATAAATGCAGATAGACACTAAGTTACCAAGCACATTGCCTAAACCAAATCCCAGTTGTCAGCAGCCATCAGGCATGTGGTGTGATTCTGGTAACCCAAGCTGGAATTTATTTATCCTCTGCTGCATTGCTTTCTGATACACAGTTCCTCTACCTAGTCATCTTTTACTGAATACATACCTAGGCTCTATCCTAGACTTCCTGGTTCAAAATCTTAGAAGGCATCAGCTTGTGTATGTAACAAATTTCCCAGGTGTTTCTGATATGCCCTTTTTGTTGGGAATCACTGATCTGAACCAATCAAGTACATTTAAAAATAACACAGCTGTCAGTTCCATGTCTGCTGGGGTGAATGTCTAATTCTTCTACCTCCTATGGTGTTTTTCCTGTGGGAATTAAACCTCTCCCAAACACGTTCTTCTTGGAGATGCCTACATTAAATAATAAAAATGTTCATCAGGGCGGAGAAGTGATTGAATGTCATTCTGACTGCCCCAGAAAGCAGAGCCCATGCAGTAGAGGAGCTCTAGTGACTTTTCCAATTGAACTAAATGGCCGAAGGAAAGGGATGGAAGTCTTTAAAGGAATTAAGAGCCAGAAGACCCAGATTACCTGGGTTTGAATCCCATCTCTGCCAATTACTAGTGGAATGCAATGATTAAGTCACCTAAGCTCTCTATGCCTTAGTTTCCTCATTCACAAAGATAGGAATCTTAATCTTAATCTTTTCTCATCCCATAAGATAGAAATAATAGGATCTGTCTCATTGAGTTTTAATAAGGATTAAATGAAATAATTTCTATGAAGTGTTAAGAATTGCCTTGTCCATAATAAGTGTTTCCAGGAATATTAGTTATATCATTGTTACATGGAATAACGATCTCATATTTTTTATTCTGTTTCCACTAGCTGGTAGTTTGTGCAATATCCTTCTGTTCTAGCAATAAGCTGATTATTAGTAGATGTTTTTAGAGTGGTGAGCTTTCATATTTTTGTGTCTTATTTGATATTTTACTGGGAAGTTGAGAGGCACTTCATCAGATCAGTTCCTGCATTTTATTGGAATCTTATGGATGAGTTCTAGAATGGTGATCCATCACTGTAATTTGGGGTTGAACAAGAAGTCAGTCATTTCATTTCCATCCAGGCTTTCCCACCATTTCCTACTCACTGCCTTGTCTACCTCATTTGTTCTTCCACTTAGTTCTGTAACTTTGAAGCAGCTCTGAAGTACAGTGAAACCCATGACCTGGTTTGAAGCTAGTGAAGTCCAGGAAGAATTGCACTCTGTAGTTCAAAAGGCTCTTCTGGGTGATAGTCATTAAGAGAGAAATTTAGTGCAAAATCAAGATCTTTCTAGGTTTTCCAAGTAATTAATTAAACCATCAGATAGTAAGTGTATTGGTGAGACTTAGTCAGTTATTTGAAGAGTGAAATTTTAATGAAAAGAATTGTTAATTAAGTACAAACTTGTCAATTAGGTAGTTGGAAGGATAATAGGAGAACTTTATGATATCGTGAATTTAAATTCTCCAAGCAGTTGCCATTCATTGAGCTGAGGAAAGAACAAGAGACTGGAAATAGAAATATTTAGAGGCTTAGAGGGGTAGCCCCATAAAGCTGAAATTCAGGCATCTGAGGAAAAGGGGTGTTGCTCAGCTGGTGATGGAATCGTTGAGCTCCAAGGAGGGACCCTAAAGAGCTCAGGTTCAGACCTTTACCCTGCTGGTTGATGGTATCTCCGAGGGCACGGAATAAAGTGGTTCTACAAATATTGAAAAATAGCTACTGTCTCTCATTAAAGATTTTTTGAAAGTCGAGACTTGGAGCCTTAATTATCTTAGCTCTCTAGTTTCCATTCACCCACCCCTACTCTGTCCAGCTTTCCAATGCTCATTTCGCTATCAATTATCTCCAGTTTTGAAAGACAGCACTAGATTCCGCCACTGCCCTGGAAAAGAACCACTAACAAGTTGAAGAAGTATTGCTGGGGTGATGCTTACAGGAACCTAGAGCAGTCAGGTAACCCACAGAAAGCAAATCAGAGACAGAAAAGACAGACAAGAAGCAGCAAACCCTTTCTCTTCCTTCAGTCTTGCAGTCTCCCCCTAGTGGCCTCTACTGGCAAAGCCCACCAGAACCAGAAACGTAATGGGTGGAATACAGTAGTCTCCCCTCTTCAAGGTTTTGCTTTCCAAGGTTTCAGTTACCCATAGTCAACCGAAAATAAACAATTCATAAGTTTTCCATTGGACGCTATTCTGAGTATCATGATGAAATCTCCCACCGTCCCACCCTGACCTATCGGGATGTGTGAATCATCCCTTCGGTCAGTGAATCCGGGCTGTATGCACTACCCGCCTGTTGGTTATCAGCATCATCTGCCCCTGACATCCAACCATAGATGTCATCATGGCTCGATGATCCAGGATCTCCCAAAGCAGATGGTCCTCCTGACATATGGTCAGAAGTTCAGTAGTAGCCTAATGCTCTGTGACAATGCCAATGCCATTCACCTCACTTCATCTCATCACATAGGGATCTTATCATCTTACATTATCACAAGAAGGACGAGGGTGAGTACAGTACAGTAAGATATTTTAAGAGAGAGAGGCCACATTCACAAAACTTTTATTACAGTATATTGTTATATTGTCCTATTTTGTTATTAGTTATTGTTATTAATCTCTTCAATTAATTTATAAATTGAATTTTATTATATGTATGTATATGAGAAAACATAGCATAACTGCTCAGAGCTGTGGAGACTGCAATTTTCCAATTCATCTGAACTAAACAGTCAAAATCAGACAATTCAAACTTTAGAAGAAATCTATTAATGTGAATGATTTGCTTTAGCCATCTGCTTTGTCATTCAGAGTGCCTAAAACCATGTCTGGTTGCCAGTCAACTCTGTACCACATAATGTTACCATAATTGTTTGGCAAAATTTCTACCTGGGATACCTCATCACCAGAGGTTGACTTTTCTCAGTCGTCCCTCCCTTAGGAAAGCAACTTGAGTAAACTGATTATATAATTTTGCCATAAATAGAAATCCCTGAGTTACAACATGAATCCACAGAACAGGGTGGAAATTGGAAGGTATCAGCCTATTGCAGATCTCTAAACTAGAGGAGATCTCCATCCAAACACTAAATTCTTACCCTTGAATATGGACTTGGGGCATCAGTCATCTGCCAAATCTTAATATATACATTGATGCCACTGATGTCTGCAAAAGATTACCAGTATTTGCATATACTTGACATTCTCTATACAACAAGTGAATTTTTATGTTAATTTGTGTGTATGCATGAGACTCAGTAAGAATTCTCCAAAATAGAAAGATTTGTTGGAATACCAAATAGCTACTATCTGTCATTTAAGATTTTTTGATAGTTGAGACTTAGAGCCTTAATTATCTTAGCTCCCCAGTTTCCACCCACCCATCTCTACCCTGCCTAGACTCCCAGTGATCATTTACCTATAATTACCTCTCCTGTTCTTAAAGACTGAACTGATACTGTCCATACTTCAAATCTAATCTCTGTATTTTCTTCTCCCGGACCCCAAAATCACTGAGATTCACCCGGAGTTCTCTAAAACAGGATTTCCAGGAAAAACAATTTAGAGAATAACAGTAAAAGAGACCAATTTTATGTAGAATAGGTTTACGTTCAAGGCATCCAAGCAACACTTTTTGAAATGTTCTTTAAGCCATCATGTTGATAGATCATAAAATGACATCTATCATTCTCTGAGTCTTTCATAACTGAAAAAGGAATAAATGCAGTGTAGAGTCAGGCTAGAGTGTTTCACTTCCTTGGGGCCTTGGGTACTTGTATAATAATTTTTAAAACATTTTTGTACTTGTGTAATAAAAATAATCACTCACCTTGATATGCATTTTACAATTTGCAAAGTAATTTCAGTCACTTAACCTTGCATATACGTAAAAACCTAAAACAACTTTGAGAGGAAGGCATTATTCTCCCAAATTACAAATGAACAAACTGAGCGTTGGGTAATTTATTTTACCGAGCAAGTAAAAAAATAAAATTTTCTGATTTTAAGTCCAGTTCTCTCTCCTCTAAATCACTACAGATGCAGAGGTCCTTCTGAGAACTTAGACGGCAGCGTGAGCTGCTACAACATCAACTATGGAATTCGTAGGTCCTAACTTCCCTCCTGACACATTAATAACCAGGCTCTGCTGCCTCCACAAAACCAAGTGTATTCTACCAAAGGTCCCATAAGCAGAAAATTGTACTCTGTTTCAATAAATGGTATATTTTTTAAAGCTGCCTTTAGATTACCCCCTTAGCACCTTGAAACTGTATTTATTATCATCTGAAGCTGGTGACATAGATAAATAATGAATCTTATTTCTTACCAGAAAAGGTCATTTGAATTTTCTGAGACCTATTTGACCTCAAATACACATTAACATATTTATCATTAGCTTCCTTTATCATGTCCGGCCTCTAGAAATGGGTAAGCATCTCATCTTCCTAGAAAAATTCAATTTCAAAAGAGAAGAAAAAAAAAACAAAGAGTTAGAATACAGGTTATGGCTAGGAAAATGTGAGCAGGCTGTTTAAAGAGTGAGTCCATTGCCAAGGGTCATAGGAATATTTTGAAATTGCCTGTGTGTTACTATCATTTAGAATCCTTTCCAAAGGTTTCTGAAAACATTTACAAGAGTTAAAGATTCAATCTTGAGCTTTCTACTATTGTGTGGGATTTATAAAATATGTCCTATGACATATTCATATGTTGGAGGTTTACTGCGAAATTTTATGTGACAGTCTGCAAAGTTACTTTGAGGACTTTTGATAAACATCTGGGAGATGTTAGCATAGACCTTATAATGTGAAAGGTAGATGCTCACTCATCTAGCATAAAAATGTCAGGCTAGCCATAGAAACGCATAAGACAAATCACTACTCCATTATTTCTGAAGATTTATGCTTTGAACAAAGATGATAAATTTAATTCTGGATCTCTTAGCCAAAATGACCCATTACCATACTTCTATTATTTCTATAATATAAACAGAACCCTATCATGGTAGGGATCATATACGTATTTCCTAGACCACATTAATATCTATGACCTTGATCTCATTTGGGGGGTTGGCCACAAGACACCATCTCTCCTTTCATATAGTGCTTTCTACTACTATGGCTTAGCAATGCTACAAAATAGTCCCCTAGTGCCAATGGAAGAAAATATGCTGTAATTGGCTTTATCTATAAAGCTGTCACAAAAACCACATTATCTTATTCAAAAAGATACATAAAAGACGTATAATTCCAGTCTCCTCAACACTGGACAACACATTGCTCTGCATAAATAATGTTAAATTCCTGAGAATCATGAAGTCTAATTTACTATTCAAGTCTTAAAATCAAGATCACATTAGTTACTTAGTGATCCATTGACTACTATTAGCGTTCATTCACTGACAGGGCCTCAGGACCCTTCTGATTGAAAAATATTTTATTCTCAGCAACTAACTCATTTTGCACTCTTCATCTAAATTGTAGCATTGTTCTCATTCTCCTTTTTTCTAAGTCTATTACATATGTGGTGCTTCCATAGACTGGCCCTTACCCCCCACAGACCTTTTTGCAATGAGGAGTTCTCTTTTTTTCCCCACTTGATAATCAGCAGGGTGCAATGAGTCAACATTAAAAGGAAAGCCTCGCCAAAGAACTATCAAGGGAGAAGTGAGCAACTTCGGCCTTCATGCTCCTTTCCACTCCCCTCCCTAGCAGAAACATTAAGCTTGAAGAATTGTAGCAATGGCCTTTCCCAGGACAATTCTGAAAGGGAGTATTCCAAAAAGGAAGCCAAACTTCGCTATCCACTAATCCCAAATCCTAATTCCTTAACTGTGGTTGCTTGCCACAATTAAGGGTACAAATAATTGTCTCAATATTGTCTTAAAATTTTAGGCATATATAGTGTTAGAAATGTCTCTGTTATTACTGGGAACAATGATAAAAGGCTAAATCAAAACAAAATCAATGTTGCTTAAACTATAGAGATGAGTGTATTAAAAATAGTTTAGCTTTAAAATAATATGACCCCCCTCTATATTCATTTCTTACTTCTCAGAAGCTGCCAATCTGGAATACTTCAGAGGACATATGAAGAAGGCATTACCAGGGCAACCAAAAGGGAGGTTTTTCTTGACTGTGCCAAATGTATACAGCATCAGATAATAAAGTAGCCATAAAGAAGAGCAGTCAAATGGATGCTTTTCCGAGTTGGATTTGGATTCTATCATTTAAGCTTATTAGATATAAACAATAATTGGTGATAGTAAATTTATCCAGCCAGCATGTCTGCAGTTCAGTTCATTACACCATTATCATGGACAAAGAAGTACAGACATTTCTGCTGATGTAGCTACAACCCTGGGGCTACTTACAGACTATTGTGCATACTGCTACACTCCATAAGAAAAAATACTTACTGCTGGGAAATTTTGCACTACATTTTTAACCTGCTGTTTGCACAGTTGACATTTCAACATCATGATTGTTTACTCTCCTGGGAGATACTGGCATCTTTTGCAAATTTTAGCGGCTGTTGAATAATTGCTGTTAGGATGTTTTTTGCTTCTCATTTGCTGATTTAGTCTCACCACCTCATTACAAGATTGTGGTTTCTTTTCTGAAATCTGTGAGTTTCATTTGAAAGTGAGAAGGGAAAAAAGGGAGATCAATCTCCCTGACTTGAGAGACTATAAAACCTGGTCATTTGACAACACATTCACTCTCATTATTTCTCTCCGTCTCCCTTGTGTGCAACGTTCCACATTTTTAGGTAAGGGCTGGGGTGAAGAAAGAAATCTGTGTTCAAGGAACAAATTGAAGCTTCCTGGTCCATCTGAGAATTAAATGAATGGTTGCTTGAAAAGAACCTGTGATGACTTCCTCTGGTAGCACACTCTAGTGCTCACCACCTGGACAATGAGGAAGTTTCTCCTAATGACCAGCTTTAAAAGGGGAGGCACTATTTCCCTGAAATGGTTTACTATGTGTCATAAATCAAATGCAGTAATGTCAGTCTTTCCAGCACCCTGATTGCATAATCTGATTCTGATATTCTTAAATACCTCCAATCCCTTTCTAAACAATGGCTTTATTTGCAAGTGACTAGAATGGGTCACAAAAGAATCAATACTAATATTGTTCACATCTTAAGGTTACTATTGAAGCTGTCAGAAATTCATGTTCCTCCTGAAGACAGACCATGGCCACCCATGGAAGTCATTTAAGTGCATCTGACCCATATGCATTTGTTCTGGCTTCACATTATGTTAAGCAACAGCAGAGATTGATTACATTGCAGGAAGTGGAAAGGTCATAACAATGAATTAACTACCAAATTGTCAATGAGGCACCTCTATCTGTATTTCTTTGAAAAGGAAGTTCAAGTAGTATTAGGTAGGGCAGAACAAGGCTGAAGGGAATAAAATATAAATTCATTAAATCATTTCCATCTCAGTTCTGACATCTAAGAAAATCTTCCCTGATTCCCCAGACTAGGTCGCTTCTTATATTTCTTACTTTAGGTCCATGGAACTTATTATTATAATTATGAATTTACTTGAAATGATTCTTGCTTCTCGTTTTTTTTAACAGTCTCACCAGACAGTAAAATGTAATGATTGAAAATATTGCCTGTAGAGCTTGATTTTGAATTTCATCTTTGCTTCTTAACAGTGGTGTGGTTTTAGTTTCTTCCTCTGCACAATGGAGCAACTAGTAGTTACTACATCATAGAGTTGTGAGGATTAAATGAATAAATAATTGTAAAGCACTTAGGACAGTGTCTGGCACACCATAAACATGCATCCAATAAATGTTAGCTATTTTTCTCACTCTATGAATGTGAAACGAGAGAGAAATGTTAGCTAATTTTTTCACTCTCTGATCCCCCTTTGCAGGACGTGTGGCAGGGGTGTGGCTTGTCTGTTCGGTGGCCCTGTTGCTCAAACCCCTGAGACGAGGGGGAGCACGCAGATGAACAGGTGCCGGAACCCAAGTGAGCGTGTGTTACAGTGTGCTCCTTTAGCCTTGTCATCCAGGGACGGCTGTTAACCCCCGGATTCTTGGCCGGCATCCTGGACCAATCAGATCACACGAACTGTTTAAAAGGTGATGAATGTGGAGACTTTATTGAGCAGTAAATGTGGCTTTCAGCGGGATGGGGAGCTGGAGTGGGAAGGT